>NT_167247.2:2806318-2941991 GCF_000001405.40 Homo sapiens | reverse complement strand
GGCCAGGATGGATGCAGTGGCTCACGCCTGTAATCCCAGCACTTTGGGAGGCCGACGTGGGTGGATCACGAGGTCAGGAGTTCAAGACCAGCCTGGCCAAGATAGTGAAACCCCGTCTCTACTAAAAATATGAAAATTAGCTGGGCATGGTAGTGGGTGCCTGTAATCCTGGCTACTCAGGAGGCTGAGGCAGGAGAATCTCTTGAACCCGGGAGGCGGAGGTTGCAGTGAGCCGAGATCGCACCACTGCACTCTAGCCTGGGTAACAGAACAAGACTCTGTCTCAAGAAAAAAAAAAGAAAAAAAAAGTTCCATTCTTGTGCCCACTGTGCTGATTAGCGCAGCAGTTCCTGTCTTGCAGGTTAGCCTTCCCTAGAGGTTCTCAGAGTTATTAAAAGGGGTCCCTTGAATGTACACACATATCAGGATTTATTCTAGATGGACTGAAAAAAAAAACCCACATACTGTCTTTGGAATCTGGAACATTTTTAGCTATGACAAATGTTTAGAAGTCTTAGATATAGAAAAGAGCTGGGAGAGCAGGATGCCCTTGAGTCCAGGTGTAGCAATGGCACTGCCACCCTTGCACAGGACGGGGGAAGCACTGGAGA
Source organism: Homo sapiens (assembly GCF_000001405.40). NCBI lineage: Eukaryota > Metazoa > Chordata > Mammalia > Primates > Hominidae > Homo > Homo sapiens. The sequence goes on along the minus strand of NT_167247.2, from coordinate 2,941,380 downwards.
AGAACCACACATTGAACACCTAGGGCAATGGGGTCTGGAAGTTTACAGGTGGTACCCCCAGTTTACAGTAGTGGCACCAGGACTCCAACCTAGGCTGATTTGTCTTCTAAGCCACATTGCCTTGGGACGTGGAGTAGAACCATGTGATTGAGTGTACACTGTGGAAGAGTGGAGTTTGTTTTTTTTTTTTTTGAGACGGAGTTTTGCTCGTTGCCCAGGCTGGAGTGCAGTGGCACAATGTTGGCTCACTGCAACCTCCGCCTCCTGGATTCAAGTGATTCTCGTGCCTCAGCCACCCAAGTAGCTGGGATTACAGGCACGCACCACCACGTCTGGCTAAGTTTTGTATTTTTAGTAGAGATGGGGATTCACCATGTTGGCCAGACTGGTCTCGAACTCCCGACCTCAGGTGATCTGCCCACCTCGGCCACCCAAAGTGCTGGGATTACAGGCGTGGGCCACTGCTCCCGGCCGGAAGAGTGGAGTTTTATCCCCAGCCAGTTACTTATTCCACGTCCCCACTGGTGGTGACCTCTTCTCCCTCCCCAAACCGTGGGCTTCTTACAGCTGAGATAGTAGAGACAATTTTTCCTATATTGATCCTTTGGGGTGTGAATGGGGTGTTGATAGAAGGAGGCAAGCAAGGTAGGGGATCGGGCAGAAGCTGGAATCAAGGCCCAGTTGAGAAAAGCCACCATTGGTAGCTCGGGCCTCCCATGCTCTCTGACCACCAGGGGGCAGGCCTTGCCTTGCCATGACGCCTCCATCCCACATCCTCTAGTTAGATATCCCTGGGGTGGCAGCCACTTCGCTGCTGGAGAATGGCTGAGTTGGTCCTTCCCAGGTTGTGTGGCATGTGTGGTTGTTCCGGTAGCTTAGGGAGGTAAAATAATTTGTTCAAGATTAGACTGGGCACAGTGGCTCACACCTGTAATCCCAGCACTTTGGGAGGCCGAAGTGGGAGGATTGCTTTAGGCCAGGAGTTTTAGATCAGCCTGGGCAACACGGTGAGACTCTGTCTGTACAAAAAATAAAAATAAGTGAGCCAAACGTGATGATGTGTGTCTGTAGTCCCAAATACTCTGGAGGCTGACGTGGGAGGGTCACTTGAGCTCAGGAGTTCAAAGTTCAAGGCCACGGGGAGCTATGATCATATGATCACACCGCTGCACTCCAGAATGGTTGACAGAGTGAGACCCTGTCTCAAAAAAAAAAAAGGTTGTATAACATAATTGTGGGGATTGCGGGGGAGCTGACATTTGAACCTAGACTCATTCCAAACCAGCATTCTTAACCATGAGATGACTGCTTCTCCAAAAGAAAGCTCTGAATTACTTCAGTGATGGGTGGGAACTGGACAGTCTACAAAAGTACTGTGACACAGAGCTAGAAACACAGATACAAAGGAAAAAACATATATTAGGTCAGGTGTGGTGGCTCACACCTGTAATCCCAGCACTTTGGGAGGCCAAGGCGGGTGGATCACTTAAGGCCAGGTGTTTAAGACCAGCCTGGCCAACATGGCAAAACTCCGTCAGTACTAAAAACACAAAAATTAGCCGAGTGTGGTGGCACACGCCTGTGAACCCAGATACTCGGGAGGCTGAGGCACGTGAATTGCTTGAGCCTGGGAAGCAGAGGTTGCAATGAGCCAAGATTGTGCCACTGCACTCCAGCCTGGGCGACTGAACGAGACTGTCTCACAACAACAACAGCAACAACAACAACATGTATTCATATAAAATGAGCCAGGCTGGGCGCGGTGGCTCACGCCTGTAATCCCAGCACTTTGGGAGGCCAAGGCGGGCGGATCACAAGGTCAGGAGTTTGAGACCAGCCTGGCCAACATGGTGAAACTCAGTCTCTACTAAAAATACAAAAATTAGCTGGGTGTGGTGGCGCACGTCTGTACTCCCAGCTACTCGGGAGGCGGAGGCAGGAGAATCGCTTGAACCCGGGAGGCAGAGGTTGCAGTGAGCTGAGATTGAGCCATTGCACTCCAGCCTGGGCAACAAGAACAAGACTCCATCTCAAAATAAATAAATAAATAAAATAAATAAAAGGAGCCAGACCAGGAGTTTGAGACCTGGACAACATAGCAAGATGCTGTCTTTCAAAAATAAATAAAAGTAAAAAGTCAGGTGTGATGGCACATACCAGTATTCCAAGCTACTTGGGAGGCTGAGGCAGGAGGATTGCTTGAGTCCAGGAGATCGAGGCTGCAGTGAGCAATGATCACACCACTGTATTCCTGCTTGAGTGATAGAGTGAGACCCTTGTCTCTAAAAAATGTAATAGTAAAAGGAGCCAGAAGGGGGCATGCGGTAAGGGGTGGACACATGGCATATTACATGTCATCCTTCACTTCTATGTGCTGTATTATCTCCTGTAGCTGTGTGATACACATACAAGAGTGTCTGGCATACTCTTGTACCAATCCCTGTAAAGGTATTACCTTGTTTTATTGTGTTCCACAGATGTGCATTTTTTTATATATTGAAGTTTGTGGCAACCCTGTGTTGAGCAAGTCTGTAGGTGTCACTTTTCCAATAGCCTGTGCTCACTTTGTGTCTCAGTGGCACATTTTGGTAATTCTTGCAATATTTCAAACTTTTTCTTGATTATTTTATCTGTTATGATCTGTCAGTAGTGATTTTTTTTTTTTGAGACAGGGTCTCACCCTGTCATTCAGGCTGGAGTGCAGTGGCAAGATCATAGCTCACTGCAGCCTCGAAATCCTGGGCTCAAGTGATTCTCCTGCTTCAGCCTCCCAAGTAGCTAAGACTACTGGAACACACCAGCACACCTGGCTAATTTTATCTATTTATTTATTTAGGCAGAGTTTTGTTCTTGTTGCCCAAGCTGGAGTACAATGGCACGATCCCAGTTCACCACTACCTCCGTCTCCCAGTGATTCTCCTGCCTCCGCCTCCCGAGTAGCTGGGATTACCGGCATGCGCCACCACGCCCGACTAATTTTGTATTTTTAGTAGAGACGGGGTTTCTCCATGTTGGTCAGGTTGGTCTTGAACTAACGACCTCAAGTGATCTGCCCTCCTTGGCCTCCCAAAGTGCTGGGATGACAGGAGTCAGCCACTGCGCCTGGACTTTTTTTTTCTTTTTTGTAGAGCTGAGGTTGGCCAAGCGCAGTGGCTCATGCTTGTAATCCCAGTACTTTGAGAGGTCGAGTGGGCAAATCACTTGAGCCCAGGAGTTTGAGACCAGCCTGGACAACATGGTAAGACCCTGTCTCTACAAAAAATACAAAAATTATCTAGGCATGGTGGTGTGTGGCAGCTACTCAGGAGGCTGAGGTGGGAAGATGGTGTGAGCCCATGAGGTTGAAGCTGCAGTGAGCCGTGATTGTGCCACTGCACTCTAGCCTAGGCAACAGAGTGAGACCTTGTCTCAAAAAGAGAGAGAGAGAGAGAAGGTCTTGCTCTGTTGCCCAGGCTGGAGTGCCATGGAGCCATGGCTTTCACAAGCAAAATCGTAGCATACTGCAGTCTTGAACTTCTGTCCTCAAGTGATCCTTCCACCTCAGCCTTCTGAGTAGCAGAGACATAGGCACATACCACTGCACTTGGCAAGAATTAGCTAAATTTACTCTGCCACGCTGTGTAAATGGAACAATAAAGCCTAGATGGCTGGATGTGGTGGCTCATGCCTATAATCCCAGCACTTTGGGAAGCTGAGGTGGGCGGATCACCTGAGGTCAGGAGTTCAAGACCAGCCTGGCCAAGATGGTCAAACCCTGTCTCTACTAAAAATACAAAAATTAGCCGGGTGTGGTGGCAGTCACCTGTAATCCCAGATACTAGGGAGGCTGAGGCAGGAGAATCACTTGAACCCAGAGGGCGGAGGTTGCAGTGAGCTAAAATTGCACCACTGCACTCCAGCCTGGGTGACAGAGCAAGACTCCATCTCAAAAAAATATATAAATAAATAAATAAATAAATAAAAGCCTAGATGATAGTACATCTGTTTACAACGTGGTTTACTGATTTTAAAATTTTTCTTTTTTTTGTTTGTTTGTTTGTTTTTGAGACACGGTCTCAATATGTTGCCCAGGCTGTAGTACAGCAGCATGATCTCAACTCATTGAAACCTCTGCCTTCCAGAGTCAAATGATCCTCCTACCTCAGCCTCCTGAGTAGTTGGGACCACAGACATGAGCCACTATGCTCAGCTAATTTTTGTATTTTTTGTAGAGATAGGGTTTCGTCAGGTTGTCCAGGCTGATCTCCAACTCTTTTTTTTTTTTTTTTTTTTTTGAGACAAAGTCTTGCTCTGTCACCCAGGCTGGAGTGCAGTGGCGCAATCTCGGCTAACTGCAACCTCTGCCTCCAAGGTTCAAGTGATTCTCCTGCCTCAGCCTCCTGAGTAGCTGGGACTACAGGCAGATGCCACCACACCCAGCTAATTTTTTGTATTTTTAGTAGAGATGGGGTTTCACCGTGTTAGCCAGGATGGTCTCGATCTCCTGAACTCGTGATCCGCCCGCCTCAGCCTCCCAAAGTGCTGGGATTACAGGCATGAGCCACCATGCCTGGCCTGGCCTCCAACTCTTTAACTCAAGTGATCTGCCCTCCTGGGCTTCCCAAAGTACTGGGATTACAGGTGTGACCCACCATACCTAGCCAAAATTATTTTTTTTTAAACTCCATTTACTACTATTCCCAATTTAAATTGTATTTTATTTAGAGACAAGGTCTCCCTCCATTGCTCAGGCTGAAATGCAGTGGCAAAATCATAGCTCACTGCATCCTTGAAACTCCTGGGCTCAAGGAATCCTCCTTCCTCAACTTCCTGAGTAGCTGGTACTATAGGTGTGTGCCACTATGTCCAGCTAAGTTTAAATTTTTTTGTAGAGACAGGGTCTTGCCATGTTGCCCAGGCTGGTCTCAAACCCCTGGCCTCAAGCCGTCCTCTCACCTTGGCCTCCCAAAGTGCTGGGATTACAAGTGTAAGCCACTATGCCCCGCTGGTTTACTGAATATTTTAAGCCTACTGTTGAGGTCTACTGCTCCGAAAAACAAGATTTCTTTAAAATGATTACTGCTCATTGACAATGTACATAGTTATCCAAGAGCTCTGATGGAGATGTCCAAAGAGATGAATGTTGTTTTCTTTTTCTTTTTTTTTTTTTTTGAGACGGAGTTTCGCTCTTGTTGCCCAGGCTGGAGTGCAATGGTGCGATATCAGCTCACTGCAACTTCCGCCTCCTGGGTTCAAGTGATTCTCCTGCCTCAGCCTCCCGAGTAGCTGGGATTACAGGTGCGCCCCACCACACCCGGCTAATTTTGTATTTTTAGTAGAGACGGGGTTTCTCTATGTTGATCAGACTGGTCTCGGACTCCTGACCTCAGGTGATCCTCCCACCTCAGCCTCCCAAAGTGCTGGGATTACAGGCATGAGCCACCACGCCCAGCTGAATGTTGTTTTCCTGCCTGCTAACATAACATCCATCCTGTAGTCCATGGTTTAAGGAGTAATTTAGACTTTCAAGTCTCATTATTTAAGAAATACATTTCGCCAGGCATGGTGACTCATGCACTTTGGGAGGCCTAAGTGGATGGATTGTTTGAGCCCAGGAGTTGGATACCGGCCTGGGCAACACAGGGAGATCCCATCTCTACAAAAAATACAAAAATTAGCCTGGTGTGGTGGTGTGCGCCTGCAGTCCCAGCTACTCAGGAGACTGAAGTGGGAGGATCAACTGAGCCCTGGAGGTTGAGGCTGCAGTGAGCCGTGATGGCGCCACTGAACTCCAGCCTGGGTGAGACAGAGCCAGACCCTGTCTCAAAAAACCAAAACAGGAATCCCAGCACTTTGGGAGGGCGAGGCTGGTGGATCACTTGAGATCAGGAGTTGGAGACCAGCCTGGCCAACATGGTAAAACCCTGTCTCTACTAAAAATACAAAATTTAGCTGGGCTTGGTGATGTGCGCCTGTAATCCCAGCTACTTGGGAGGCTGAGGCAAGAGAATTGCTTGAACCCAGGAGGCAGAGGTTGCAGTGAGCCGAGATTGTGCCACTGCATTCCAGCCTGGGCGACAGAGTGAGACTCCAGCTCAAAAAAAAAACAAAAAACAAAAAAACCCAACCAAACACACACACACACACACACACACACACACACACACACACACACACACACAAGGTGATTGCTATGCAAATTAAATATAGCTTCACCAATCAGCTTGCTTCTCCTAATCCCTCATAGAAATCTTGGAGTAGCCCTGGGGTGCAGTGAGGCCAGATTCCAGGAAGGGAATGGGTGGGATGGGTCTGGGTACTGGTGAGCAGCAGGGAGGGTAAGTAGGTTAGCTTCTGGGCCAAGGAGGGCTCCTGGAGGCTTGTTCTGGGTAAAAGCTGGTCTCCTTGAACCTCGGAAGGTGGGGGAACCCACATCCTGGTCTCACCCGCCCAACCGCCCACTCACCCTTGGGTTAGCAGCCATCTAAGCCCCACCCTCCCCCTCACACGCTTAGCTAGCCTGCCACAAGCTGGCCCCTTGGCCTCCTAGAGACCCTGACATCTCCTCCAGCAGCATCTGTCCCCTCTCCTCAGGGAGGCAAGCATTTGATGCTCGAGGTCCCTGGCAGTTGTGGTCCTTGGCAAGTGATGTGTGAGTCCCGTGTGTCATAGGAAGCTCCCCATCCCCATCTGGTGACCAAAGGCCTGGCTACAAGTAGTGAGTCCTTCCTCCTCCACCCAGACCTCACTGCTCAGATCCCCTTCGCCAACTGGGACATCTTCCGACATGGCCTGGATGCTGTTGCTCATCTTGATCATGGTCCATCCAGGTGACAGGGCGTGCGCTCAGGACCCCAAGGAGTGTGGGTGGGAGGAGGGAGATCCAGGAGGCTGGACTAGATGCTATAGGGAACGGGCTTGGTGGGGGCTGAAACACACGGCTCTGAGGGAGGAGTGGGACTGCTCCAAAGGTGACACTCAGTGGACTCCCCCAATTCACAGTCTCTCTGTGTCACCCACTGTGAGGCTTTTTAGTTTGAGAGATCCAAGTAAATCTATGATAAATTTCTTGGTGAAACTTTTTTTTTTTTTTTTTTGAGACTGAGTCTCGCTCTGTCGCCTGGCTGGAGTGCCGTGGTGCGATTTTGGCTCACTGCAACCTCTGCCTCCCATGTTCAGGTGATTCTCCTGCCTCAGCCTCCTGAGTAGCTGGGACTACACGCACGCACGACCACACCTGGCTAATTTTTTTTTTTTTTGAGACGGAGTCTTGCTCTGTCACCTAGGCTGGAGTGCAGTGGCATGATCTTGGCTCACTGCAACCTCTGCCTCCTAGATTCAAGCAATTCTCCTGCCTCAGCCTCCTAGGTAGCTGGGATTACAAGTGCGCACCACCACACCCAACTAATTTTTGTATTTTTAGTAGAGACAGGGTTTTACCATGTTGGCCGGGCTGGTCTTGAACTCCTGACCTCAGGTGATCTGCCTGCCTCGGCCTCCTAAAGTGCGGGGATTACAGGCCTGAGCCACTGCGCCCAGCCATTTTTGTATTTTTAGTAGAGATGGGGTTTTGCTATGTTGGCCAGGTTGGTCTCAAACTCCTGATCTCAAGTGATCTGCCTGCCTCGGTCTCCCAAATTACTGGAATTATAGGCATGAGCCACTGCGCCCGCCTGGTGGTGAAACTTTTTTTTTGAGACAGTTTCATTCTGTTGTCCAGTCTAGAGTACAGTGGCGGTATCTCAGCTCACTGCAGCCTCCACCTCCTGGGTAAAAATGATTCTCCTGTCTCAGCCTCCCAAGTAGCTAGGATTACAGGTGCATGCCATTACTGCTGGCTAACTTGTGTATTTTTAGTAGAGACGAGGTTTCACCATGTTGGCCAGGCTGGTCTCAAACTCCTGACCTCAGGTGATCCACTCGCCTTGGCCTCCCAAAGTGTTGGGATTATAGGCGTGAGCCACTGCACCCGGCCGAAACTGTTTTTAATGAACTGAGAGACCTTAACTATCAGGCATATTATTAACTAAATGCAGGAGTTCTCAAAATGTGGATTTCTGGGAACCTAGAACAAATTCTTAGGCCCCACTCCAGACCTACTGAGTCAAAAACTCGGGGGGTAGGCCCAGGAATCTGTTCTAGCAGATGCTCCAGGTAATTTCCATACACACTCAAGTTTGAGAACCACTGAAATAGAATGACTTGTAAATTTCCCTAAGTAGATAATTTAATCAGGGATTTTAATATTTGGTTTAATTCATCAACATGGACGGGTTAAATAGGAATCTCAACCAATTAAGGCCACGTGTTCACCTGGAGATTTAATTAGTTACTTTCTTTAACGAAAACCAAGAGTGGCTGGGTGCACTTTGGGAGGCCGAGGCAGGTGGATCACTTGAGATCAGGAGTTTGAGACCAGCCTGGTCCGAGGTGGGTGGATCACTTGAGGTCAGGAGTTTGAGACCAGATGGTGAAACCCTGTCTCGACTGAAAATACAAAAATTAGCCAGTCGTGGTGGTGGGTGCCTGTAGTCCCAGCTACTTGGGAGGCTGAGGCACCAGGATTGCTTGAACCCAGGGGACGGAGTTTGCAGTGAGCCAAGATTGCACCACTGCATTCCAGCCTGGGCAACAGAGCAAGACCCCATCTCAAAAAAAGAAAAAAGAAAAAGAGGAAGGATGGCTTACTGTACAATGCCATTTGTACTAAAATAATACCTGGATAATATAATGAGTGATATTAGTTAACTAGGCAGCTGCATTCATTAATGAGCTTAATTTCACCATGATGGTTTACATTTCAGCTAGACAAGTTACTACTGAACTGGCTGGAGAATGATGGCAGAGGGTGAGAGTGAGAGTTGGTATAGGAAGAATTTGAAAAATGATTTTTATTTTTTATTTTTTGAGATGGAGTCTTGCTTTGTCGCCCAGGCTGGAGTGCAATGGCGCAATCTTGGCTCACTGCAACCTCTGCCTCCCGGGTTCAAGCGATTCTCCTGCCTCAGCCTCCCGAGTAGCTGGGATTACAGGTGCACACCACCATGCCCGGCTAATTTTTGTATTTTTTTAGTAGAGACGGGGTTTCACCATGTTGGCCAGGATGGTCTCGATCTCCTGACCTGGTGATCCGCCCACCTCGGCCTCCCAAAGTGCTGGGATTACAGGCGTGAGCCACTGCACCCAGCCGAAAAATGATTTAATAAGCAATGTTAAGAAATCAGATTGGTTAAGAGGGAAGGGTTTAATGAGGCACCCAAAGTATCTATTCCCATGCACCCTATGCCTGGAGAAAGCTGGGATGTTCTACTCCAAGCTCTGTTGTCTTTTCTCTTTGGAATAACTGGGGAGGTGTTTCTCTGGGTCTTCCTTCTGCCCCCAGGATCCTGTGCTCTCTGGGTGTCCCAGCCCCCTGAGATTCGTACCCTGGAAGGATCCTCTGCCTTCCTGCCCTGCTCCTTCAATGCCAGCCAAGGGAGACTGGCCATTGGCTCCGTCACGTGGTTCCGAGATGAGGTGGTTCCAGGGAAGGAGGTGAGGAATGGAACCCCAGAGTTCAGGGGCCGCCTGGCCCCACTTGCTTCTTCCCGTTTCCTCCATGACCACCAGGCTGAGCTGCACATCCGGGACGTGCGAGGCCATGACGCCAGCATCTACGTGTGCAGAGTGGAGGTGCTGGGCCTTGGTGTCGGGACAGGGAATGGGACTCGGCTGGTGGTGGAGAAAGGTGAGATGCTGGGAGGTGGTGTCTCCTCCTGGCTGGAGGCCCCAAGAGGCAATGTCCTTGGGAGGCAGGGATGCTCCTCTGAGGCCCCTTCCCTCCCTGAGCCTGTGTGCACTTCTTCCCCAACCCCCGTCTCCATTGCCCCATGCAGAACATCCTCAGCTAGGGGCTGGTACAGTCCTCCTCCTTCGGGCTGGATTCTATGCTGTCAGCTTTCTCTCTGTGGCCGTGGGCAGCACCGTCTATTACCAGGGCAAATGTGAGTAATGGAGCCAGGGGCAATAGTGGACGGGATGGGAGGGGCAGTAAGAGAGTGGGAGGAGGGAGGACAGAGATCAGGAAGAGGAGAGCCTCGGGACTGCAACACTGAGCAGCTCCTGTCCTCTCTCTGACCAGGCCACTGTCACATGGGAACACACTGCCACTCCTCAGATGGGCCCCGAGGAGTGATTCCAGAGCCCAGATGTCCCTAGTCCTCTTCAAAAGACCCCAATAAATCTGCCCCACCACTAACTCCTCATGAGTCTCAAGTGTTTTCTTCTCCATTCTCCAGATGCCAAATCTACTCTCTCCGGATTCCCCCAACTCTGAACTTTCCCTTCCACCAGGTCTGACCTGGAAAGGTCCAAGAAGGCAGCTGCCGGCTGTGGTCCCAGCGCCCCTCCCACCACCATGTGGGAGCTCAGCACATCTGCTTCCCCCAGTCCCAGGAGGCTGAGCCTGATTGTCCTGAGAAATGGGAAGGATCAGATATGACTCCTCCTTGGCAACTGCCCTTTCCTGCCAGGCCCACACATACCCTCTTCTGGCTGTTAGGGGAGCTTGGGTCCCTGAACACTGTCATTCACCCAATAAATTACTATTTGACCCCAGAGTGGGTGGAAGGGTGAGCCATGTGTTTTTTTTATTTTAATTTTTAAAAAATTTAAAAAATTCCCTATTCAAAGGTCAAAAAGCCACATAAGTTTTGATGATGATCATTTTGAACGGAGGCTCGAGATGGACTGAGAGGACTGAGACACAGAAGTGGGGGGACCATGGTTTTTACTGGCTGGACCACAGGGGGACCCTGTCCACCCGCCTGGGTTGAGGAAGGTGTCTGGGGTGCTCAGGTGGGTTTGTTCTCAGCAATGCAGGCATAGTCAGCTCTTGGATCCTCCTTGGTGCCTCTCTTGTCTCTGCCCCTGAGGTCAGGTCCCTCACTGCTGGGCACTGGCAGCCTCTGCAGAGATGCATAGTGGAGTTCCTGCTCTGAGGAGCCCTGGGCCTGGGACCAGGACAGAAGGTGCTGATGGGAGGCGATGCCGTCAGATCCTTCCCTGTGAGTTCTGCTCCCACCTCCAGCCTTTCTTACTTCTCTCCCTCTCTCTCTCTCTCTCTCCCTCTCTCTCTCTCTCTCTCTCTCTCTCTCTTTTTTCTTTGGAGACAGAGTCCCACTATGTTGTCCAGGATTGTCTTCAACCCCTGAGCTCAAGCTATCTTCCTGCCTCAGCCTTGCGATAGCTGGAATGACAGACGTGAGCCACTGTGCCTGGTTCTGGAGCCTCTCTCTCTCTCTTTCATTGCTCTTCTCTTTGTGTCTCTCTCACTCTCATTTTCTCCCTGTCTCTCCTATCCTCTGTCTCACTTTTTCTCTTGGTTTCTGTCTCATTTTCTCTTTCTCTTTTGCCTCGATTTTCTCTGCCTCTCTCATGCTCCTACTTTCTCTCTCCTTGTCTCCCGTCCCCAACCCTCCTCTCAGCGCTCAGCCATGCTTCTCCCCACTCACCCACTCAGGATCTCTCTTGCCCTCCCCCTTCCCTGTCCCCAGACTCACCCAGCTCCTCTCCAGCCTCTTTACTGGAAGAAAAGAAGAAGCTCAACACAGCCCACCCTTTGTGCTTCTCCCGGGCCCTCCCGGGCCCCCCCCACCAGCAGGCGTGGACTCCCCTGTTGGCTTCCCAGTGGCTCCAGGGCCAGGCAGTGTTCTGGGAAAGCAGTGGGAAAGCGTGTGGGGGTGGGGGCACAGGGGGCACTGCTGCAGGGGGAGGGAGGGAGTGCAGCGCTCACCTCTTCGATGCAGCCAACACAGGCAGGCGGACAGAAGGACCACTGCCAGAAGCAGGAGCCCGCCCAGCCCCAGGCCCCCGTAGATACATATATCTTCAGGGAAGAGGGCTCAAGGTTAGGAAGCCCATTCCTTCTCCAGCGTACCCCAGCCTCCTGGTTGGTTGCAGCTTTCTCAGATTCCCTCTCCAACAGTTTTAGAGGCAGAAAAATATACCCTCAGAGCTTCTCCATCCCAGACCTTAATACCTCACCTCTTACCAGGTTTCTGGGCCTCCCGTGAGGTCCCTTTCCCTCCTGTACCAGCTGTCCCCAGAGGCCTGTCCACCTAGTCATGAGCTGCATACATCACTGTTCCCCATCACTTCCTAAGCTCCCAGGACCCTCTCTATGCAGATGCAAGAGACACTTTACTTACCATCATTCCGCGATAACATTAGGTCAGGGATCAGGGACTGGCCTGGAGGTCAGGAACTCTAGTCCTTGCTCTTTTAGGCGAAATGATCAGGGGCTGGTGACTTGCCTCAAGTTCCTCATCTGTGAAGTGAGGGGCCCTCTGTTATAATCGTTCCCAGGCTGGGGAGCCTCCCTTATGTGCCAACCCTGAGCTGGGCACTTTCCATTCCTCACTGCTAATCCCCAGAACATAGGGTATCATGGTGCCCGTTGCCCAAGTAAAGACCCGAGATTCAAGCCTGGACTTTACTAGGTCACCCATCCCAGAAAGGTGGAGCTGGGGTTTAAGGCCAGCTCTGCCCAACTCCAGAGCCCAGCCCTTTCCTCTGCCCTGGGCTGACCACGTGGTTTGGAGGGGACTTTTCAGCCCTGGATGGTTCTAGGTGCTGGTAAGGGGATGATGGAGGGGAAGGAGCCTGGGCCTGGGTGGGTGTGGGCACTGGGGGGAAGAAGGGAGGGTGATATCAGCACACCCAGCAGGTGGGCTGCTCCCTGAGCCGCAGAGCAGCGCGGGAGTGTGGGGGCCCCCTTGGCTGGTGTGGAGAGCTGCTTCCCACAGGCAGATGCTGCTAGGGCTGAAGTGGGGCATGGAGGAGTATCTGGGGCCCCATAACTTCCCCTCAGGCACTTCCTCCCCTCCAACCACTGGTTCCTGTTTGAGGGTGAAGAGGGGGCCGTTCTCTTCACCCCAGAGCCAGATATACTGACTAGGGTCTGGAAACTGGGACCCTTCTGGGTTTAAGAGGAATTCTGGGGGGTGGGGAGCAGAAGTGCAGGTGGAGGCCATAAGGGCCGTGGGCACAGAAATGAATTGTCTTTAATTTCTTTGGGGAGCAGAGACTCAGAGGATTCCTCGACGGCCCAGGGAAACTCAAACCCATACTCTCCCTCCCCTCATCTTAGCTTCACCCCACTCTGGGGTGTGACCATCCTTCCACCAAGGTCCCTGCCCATTCCCAGCTTACCCAGAGCTTGTGGCCTGCAGGATGGACAGACTCCAAACTGGCCAGTGCTGTCTGGCTGAAGAGAAGTGTTGCCACCTCAGACATTCCTGCCCCTCCTCTGGCTTTAACTTCTCCCCCAGCCTGGGTTCCTCCCCAGCATTGTTAGGAGAGGAAGTTCGGCTCCAGGGTTAGGGTTACAACATCTTTCTTTTCAAACTTCTGGGCCTGTAGCTAGGGCCATAATCTGCCTCAGCTCCAGTCATTTCACTGATCCTGCCACTAGTCAGCAAACACCCACCACCTTCAGGTGTCTTCCTTGATTAACTCTTCTCTATTACCTCTTACACTGCATCTGTTGAGACCTCTTGATCTTGGCATATGTCTGTGGACACATGTACCCTGCTCCAGTTCAGACTGGGAGCTCTGGCATATTTGGTGTTCTGGTGACCCACTTGGTGTTCTGCAGCTCTATGCAGCAGGCTGCTTGGCTGTCTGATTAACAAACATGAGAGTTAAAGGCAGCCATACTAGATCTACATGAGCCCTGTGGATAGATCAAGGACAGAAAGTTGGTGACAAGTTGGTGACAGGAAAGGAGGTGTGGGCAATACAGGTGGACTTCCTGTAGGAGGCAGCATTCTGGCACTGAACACAGAACTAAGTAAAGGCAGCGGCCTGAGGCTCTCTGGAGAGACCTGGGTGAAGGCTTCTTAGTGGCACTGTGATGGAGAAGGAGATGGGTGCTGGAGGATTGCACACCCACTCCTTGAGGAGGGTGAAGACTGGGGAGCGCCTGTAAGGCAAGGGGTGAGGAGGAGATGTGGTGCCTGGGTGGGTCCATATTAATTTGCGTTTCCCCTTCCAAATTCAAGAACCTTCTACTTCCTCCCCCACCCTTCTCCCCATCCTCCATGTTCCCCATGCTGAATAATATTCAGGGTTTTTTGTTTGTTTTGTTTTTTTTTACATTTTATTATTAAAAAGTGCAAACATAGGGTGAAATGAGAATAATTGTACAGTGAACATATTCTTACCACCTAGATGCTACTATTAACATTTTTTGTTTTGTTTTGTTTTTGAGATGGGGTCTCACTCTGTCACTCAGCCTGAAGTGCAGTGGTGAAATCATAGCTCACTGCAGCCTTGAATTCCTGGGCTCAGAGGTCCTCCCACCTTAGCCTTCTGAGTAGCTAGGACTACAGACACCAGCTACCACATGAGGCTTTGTAGAAATGGGGTCTTACTATGTTGCCCAGGCTGGTTTTGAACTCCTGGTCTCAAGCAATCTTTCCACCTTAGCCTTCCAAAGTGCTGGAATTACAGGAGTGGGCCACTGCACCTGGCTCTATTAACATTTTTTATTTGCTTTATCACATATTTATCAATCCATCTCACTTTTAAATATCTTTTAAAATTACAAATATCAGTACATTTTACATCTAAACCCTTCAGAAGCTTAACATTGACTGGAGTTCAGTATTTATTTCCCCATTTCTTTTCTGGCCTGAGGAAGGCAAATTTTACATACAAATCTCAAGTCAGTACTCTTTTTTTTTTTTGAGACGGAGTCTTGCTCTGTTGCCCAGGCTGGAGTCCAGTGGTGTGATCTTGGCTCACTGCAACCTCTGCCTTCTGGGTACAAGCGATTCTCCTGTCTCAGCCTCCCAAGTAGCTGGGACTACAGGTTTGTGCCACCATATCCAGCTAATTTTTGTATTTTTAATGGAGAAGGGGTTTCACCATGTTGGCCAGGCTGGTCTCAAACTCTTGACCTCAAGTGATCCACCTGCCTTGGTCTCCTAAAGTGCTGGGATTATAGGTGTGAGCCATCTCGCCTGGCCTAATACTGTTTTGTTTGTTTGTTTTTGTTTTTAAGACAGAGTCTTGTTCTTGTCACCCAGGCTGGAGTGCAATGGCATGATTTCGGCTCACTGCAACTTCCGCCTCCTGGGTTCAAGTGATTCTCCTGCCTCAGCCTCCCAAGTAGCTGGAATTAAAGGTGCCTACCACCACGCCCCGCTAATTTTTATATTTTTAGTAGAGATGGGGTTTCACCATGTTGATCAGGCTGCTCTCGAGCTCCTTACCTCAGATGATCCACCTTCCTTGGCCTCCCAAAGTGCTGGTATTATAGGCAAGAGCCACTGCGCCCAGCCCCAGTATTCAGTTTTTAAACTGTCTTGTTATCAAGGCTCTGGAGCCAGATGCCTGGGTTCAAATTCTGGTTCTGCCACTGACTCTGTGAGCTCCATAAGTTTCTTAACCTCTCTGTACCTCAGTTTCCTCTTAGGGTTTTTGTCAGGATTATAATTATTGGCTGGGCATGATGGCTCATGCTTGTAATCCCAGCACTTTAGGAGGCCAACACGGGCAGATCACGTGAGTCCAGGAGTTTGAGCCCAGCCTGGGCAATGTGGCAAAAATCCATCTCTACAAAAAATGCAAAAATTAGCTGGGCATGGTGGCATGTGCCTATAGTCCCAGCTATTCAGGAGGCTGAGGTAGGTGAATCCATAGATCCTGGGAGGTCAAGGCTGCAGTGAGCCATGATCCTGCCATTGCATTCCAGTCTGGGTGACATAGCGAGACCCTGTCTCAAAAAAAAAATTATTAAAGTGTGTAAATCAGTGGCATAAACATGTTAAGTGCATTTTGTGGGTCAGCTATATTATTATTAGTATTACGGAAACACATAGAGATGTTACCAAGAAGGGGAGATGATTGGAGCCACTTCCAGCTTCCTTGGACCTGGTCTTTCTTCCCTTGACTCTTTTTTTTTTTTTTTTTTTTTTTTTTTTGAGAGAGAGTCTCAGCCTGTTGCCCAGGCTGGAGTGCAATGGTGCAATCTTGGCTCACTGCAACCTCTGCCTCCCAGGTTTAAGTGATTCTCCTGCCTCAGCCTCCTGTGTAGCTGGAATTACAGGCGCGTGCCACCACGCCCGGCTAACTTTTTGTATCTTTAGTAGAGACAGGGTTTCACCATGTTGGCCAGGCTGGTCTCGAACTCCTGACCTCAAGTGATCCACCTGCCTCAGCCTCCCAAAGTGTTGGGATTACAGGTGTAAGCCACTACCCCGGCTACTCCCTTGACTCTTAACCACTCATGCTGCCTACATCTACCATTCATGTGGTCCTTGCTGCTTTGTTTTGGTTATTCCTGCATTTATTTGTCCTTTTATTCATTTATGTATAAACATTTAGTAAGCACCTACTAATGGATAGGGCTCATTGTAGACTTGGAAGCTCTCTGAGGGTGGGAGTATGCCTCGTCCATCTGTCTTTACTTTTTGTAGCAAGGGAGGTAAAGCTCCATTTCCATCCCTCCTTAGTGAGTCAGTAGTCAGTGGTGAGGCTAAGGCTTACCTCTCCCTTTCTCACTCAGCACAGGGGGCTGGAGATGAGCAAGGGAACGGGAGGAGGTCAGCCCAGTATGGGAATCAGTTCTTCTCAGGGAACCCAGACATCCATCCCTCAAGATTCCAGTCCTTGTCCTAGTCCGGCCCTTGACCTCAGAGACGGGATCAGCTCTTCCTCCAGCACCTACCTTGAGGGTATAGAAGAATGCAAACCACATTGGAAACCTGGAGATCTGTGTTCTCATTTCAGCTCTGCTGACTGGCTTCCTGCAAGCTACCTTCCCTCCCTGGGCCTCAGTTTCTCTCTCTGCTGAGCCAGAAGATGTCTAAAGACCCCTTTGGTTCCACCCTGAGAGCCTGTCTCCCTAACCTCAACTTCTTCCCCAGTTCAGAGAACCCAGGCATCCAGCTGCCCCACCCCAGCTCTGGGTAAACAGGAAGCTGGGTGAGGGGAGCAGGGGTGTGCGGAAAGTCCCAGCCAGGTGTGCAGGTCTACAGGGAGGGGGTGGGCCCGTCCCTGAGGTATGAAAGCCCCCTGCTCTGGCTCTGGTTCAGTCTCAATGGGGGCACTGGGGCTGGAGGGCAGGGGTGGGAGGCTCCAGGGGAGGGGTTCCCTCCTGCTAGCTGTGGCAGGAGCCACTTCTCTGGTGACCTTGTTGCTGGCGGTGCCTATCACTGTCCTGGCTGTGCTGGCCTTAGTGCCCCAGGATCAGGGAGGACTGGTGAGTGGCTGCAACAGGCCCTGGTGGAGAGTTGTATCTTGCGGATGCTTGGCTCCCTCTGGTTGTGCCTGTGGTCTTTTGCCCCCTCTGGCTCAGCTGGCTCGGCTGTCCCTGGTGGGGATGTCTTGTCTCTTTGCTGACTCTCTTTCCATGTTCCTGTGATGTTGTGCTTGTGTCCCGACATAAGCCCCTTGTGTCTCCTCTCCTCTTCCCGAGGTACATCTGTTTCTCCGCCCAAGTACCTATGCCTTGCTTGTTCTCCCTTCTAAGGAGGTGTGTGTTGGGGATGGTGCTGGTAGGAGAAACCCCAGGCCTGCAGCTTGGGTCCACTTTCAGAGGGGTAGGGGTGACATGAGCTGAATCTGAACTCTGGGCACTGTGACCCCACCCAACCAGGTAACGGAGACGGCCGACCCCGGGGCACAGGCCCAGCAAGGACTGGGTAAGAGCAGACTGTCTCTCCTTCCCCGCTTCAGACCCTCAGGGGCTCCCAGCTCCCTGCTGCGTCCCCAGATACCTCTTCCTCTAGGAATCCAGGCTCCCCATCCCTGCGCCCTGTTCTCTCAAGGGTAGCCTGCATGGGTGGCTGCCCTGCCCCCAATCGTGGACTCTTTGCCCCTTCCAGGGTTTCAGAAGCTGCCAGAGGAGGAGCCAGAAACAGATCTCAGCCCCGGGCTCCCAGCTGCCCACCTCATAGGTAAGGACCTCCAAGACCTGAATAAGAGTGTAAATAATCCGAAGGTTCCAGTTCTGCTCGCCCAGAGTCCTTCGGCTCCATGATTCCAGTGCTCGGTTTCCCACCCGCTTCACGACCTTTTGTCGCTCGTGCCCACTCTTACGCTCGTCCCCGCAGTGTAGTTTCTTCTTCCCTCCGGTGCAAGCAAAAGCCGGCCTGGAGGTCCCCACTACAGCGTTCTGCACCCCACATCCGTGTTCCCTCGGCCCCCAACTCGCACTCATCCCAGAAACAGCACCATCCCTCCTCCCCCGGCCCGGCTCGGCTCCCGCAGGGGCTAAAAGCCGCCACTTCCCCAGAAGTCCCAAGCCTTTAGGATCGCATTCCCAAGAGCGCGTCGGCCCGTGTCTCCGCAGGCGCTCCGCTGAAGGGGCAGGGGCTAGGCTGGGAGACGACGAAGGAACAGGCGTTTCTGACGAGCGGGACGCAGTTCTCGGACGCCGAGGGGCTGGCGCTCCCGCAGGACGGCCTCTATTACCTCTACTGTCTCGTCGGCTACCGGGGCCGGGCGCCCCCTGGCGGCGGGGACCCCCAGGGCCGCTCGGTCACGCTGCGCAGCTCTCTGTACCGGGCGGGGGGCGCCTACGGGCCGGGCACTCCCGAGCTGCTGCTCGAGGGCGCCGAGACGGTGACTCCAGTGCTGGACCCGGCCAGGAGACAAGGGTACGGGCCTCTCTGGTACACGAGCGTGGGGTTCGGCGGCCTGGTGCAGCTCCGGAGGGGCGAGAGGGTGTACGTCAACATCAGTCACCCCGATATGGTGGACTTCGCGAGAGGGAAGACCTTCTTTGGGGCCGTGATGGTGGGGTGAGGGAATATGAGTGCGTGGTGCGAGTGCGTGAATATTGGGGGCCCGGACGCCCAGGACCCCATGGCAGTGGGAAAAATGTAGGAGACTGTTTGGAAATTGATTTTGAACCTGATGAAAATAAAGAATGGAAAGCTTCAGTGCTGCCGATAAAGATGCTGAGTTGCGACACACGTCTTAATTCAGGGTGGGTGCACGGGTGCGGGTTAAATATTCTCAGTACTCTTCTGGTTGCTTGAAACAATTCATCACAACACAGTGTATGGCCTTTGCTCCTAGGGATGATGGTCTGCCTGTCCCACCCCCTCCCTGCCTCTGAATGGCCAGGCCCCACCATTAGCCCAGTTGGAGGGTGGGAGGAAGGGGGACTTCTCAAACTCCGAAGCTTCTCTAGGCATCCTGATTTTCAGGGCCACATGGTCCCAACCAGACTCTGCACCATACTCTTTTCTCTTGGGTACCCCCCAACAGTGAGAGGGGTCATTACAGAGCCCAGCAAGCACCACTCAGAAAGGCCCAGCAGCAGAGTAAGCCCCTATCATGACAGAGGAATGAAGCCTGGAGGGGCCCCGCACTTCTCCCCCTAGAGCTGCCTGAAGGCCTCTCTGTCTCCTACCCGACAGTCAACTCTTCTCCTCCAAGGAGCTTAATTCAAGGCTCATGGGGTCTGAAGGGAGGAGGCTGAAGGAGAAAGAAGGGGAGAATATTAGAGAGAGATGGGGATGGCAGGAAGGAGCCTGTGGTGCCTGAAAACACCAGGAAGTTCTGGGGAGGAGGAAAAACCGATGCCCCACTTAGGGTGTCCCATTTAGGGTGAGACGGAAAATCCTCACCTTTTTTTCACACTTTAGGTCCCCCTTCCCAAAAGTGAGTAAGTGTGGGTGCTTCTGGGATGAGTAACAGTGTCCCCCATTACTTCATGGCTGACTTTCAGCCACAGGCTGGAGGAGGCAGAGGGTGACCCAAGGCCCTATCTAGGTCACCCCAATGGGTCACCCTACCCCCTCAGCCTACCACATGGTTTTCTCCTGCCTGGCACCCCAGGGCTGGAGGTAAAGCCTAATTTCCGAACTCAGTGGGGGCTCCCAGTCTAGGGGGGCTCAATTTCCGTCTCCATATTTGTTTTTGGAATTATTATTTTTTTGAGACAGGGTCTCGTTCTGTCACCCAGACGGGGGTACAGTGGCATGATCATAGCTTACTGTAACCTCAAACTCCTGGGCTTGAGTGATCCTCCTGCCTCAGCCTCCTGAGGAGCTAGGATTACAGGCATGCACCACTACACCTGACTAATCTTTAATTTTTTTTCTAGAAACAAGGTCTTGCTATGTTGCACAGGCTGGTCTTGAACTAGTGGGCTCAAGTGGTCCTCCCACCTCAGCCTCCCAAAGTGTTGGGATAACAGGCATGAGCCACTGCGCCCCACCCTTATTTGTCTTTGACTCTCTCCAGAAGAGCCTTCATCCAGGGAGGGGGTGCTTTTCTCTTTCCGGATTACCCACCTCTCACCTCTCCCCTCCTTCACCACAAAGACCAGTGGGACCAAGCCGGCATGTGAGTCCTTCACCCACATCTTATTCCTATGTTTCATTCTTTTTTAAAAAATAGAGACAGGATCTCACTATGTTGCCCAGGTTGCTCTGGAACTCCTGGGTTCAAGCGATCCTCTCACCTTGGCCTTGCAAAGTGGTAGGATTACAGGTGCATGCCACCACGTCCGGCAGTTCGGTTCCTTGTTCTTTATTGTCCTCAGTCTCTTCGATTTCACCCACTGAGAGAATGGAAGGGGATAGAACAGCTGGAAACTGGTTGAAGGAAGCCAGAATTCACTAAGTGCCCACTGTGCCAAGGGCTGAGTGAGGTCCTCTGATGGAGGTCAGGCCTTCTCTCACATGCCCTATGTGTGGTGGACATTCCTATCCCCATTGGATAGATAGGTTAAGTGGCTGGTTCAGGTTGCAGAGTTAGGACAGGGTGATTTGAAGCCTAGACACCCGAATCTCTGGAAGTCCCTTGGCTGTGTGATTCAGGTACCTGAGAATGCGGCTCCTCTCCAGCTCTCTCCGGACTGCTGGCCAGCTGCAACAGCCGGAAATCTCACCTGAGCTGCAGGATTTTCCCAGCAAGGATTGGAATTCCCAGAGTTGGAAATTCCCATGCCCTGAGGGAGAGGTAATTAGGTTCAGGCTCTTGTTTCCTGGGGGATGGGGAATATTCTGTTGGGCTTTGTTTATGTAGGGTCTCCAGGGCCCTAGGAGTCTAAGGATGGGACTGGGTCCGAGGGATCTTAAAGCCTGTGGAGAGAGGACTTAGGGAGCTTCTTCCCACCCACAAGAAGAGGCAGATGCAGAATTAATTCCAAGAAGGAGACCATGTTTCTTTTCTAAGCAAACTTTATTTCTCGCCACTGAATAGTAGGGCGATTACAGACACAACTCCCCTGGGGAGCAGAGGCTCAGCAATGAGTGACAGTTGGTCACCAAATCAGCATTGTTTAGACAACTTAATCAGATAAATATTTTAAAAAACATAATCAAAAGAAGGCACAGAGGCCAGGGGGCTACATGGGAACAGCCTATTGTTCAGCTCCGTTTTCACGGAAAACATGTCTGAGCCAAGGCAGCTCCTACATTGGGTCCCCCAGGATACCCCGGTCTCCCAAATAAATACATTCATCTGTAAATAAATAAATAATAAATAAATAATAAATAATCACAAGTGCAAACATAAATAGAGGGAGCTGGCTCCATGGGGAGGGCTGGGCTCCGTGTCTCAAGGAAGTCTGGAAACATCTGGAGAGAGGAAGGCCTAAGGTCCACTTGTGTCAATTTCTAGGTGAGGTCTTCTCAAGTCCTGCAGCATTCTGGCCAGAACCAAAGGCTCCCTGGTCTCCAGATTCCAGATGTCAGGGATCAAAGCTGTAGGCCCCAGTGAGTTCTGGAGGCCCCAGTTTGAATTCTTAGTGGTTGCCAGCACTTCACTGTGCAGGCCACACATTCCTGAATCCCAGGTTTCGAAGTGGTGGTCTTGTTGCTTAAAGTTCTAAGCTTGGGTTCCGACCCTAAGCCCCCAATTCTCTTTTTGAGCCAGAAGAGGTTGAGGGTGTCTGAAGGAGGGGGTAATAAAGGGATTGGGGCAGGGGAGGCGTTTGGGAAGGTTGGATGTTCGTCCTCCTCACAGGGCAATGATCCCAAAGTAGACCTGCCCAGACTCGGCAAAGTCGAGATAGTCGGGCCGATTGATCTCAGCGCTGAGTCGGTCACCCTTCTCCAGCTGGAAGACCCCTCCCAGATAGATGGGCTCATACCAGGGCTTGGCCTCAGCCCCCTCTGGGGTCTCCCTCTGGCAGGGGCTCTTGATGGCAGAGAGGAGGTTGACCTTGGTCTGGTAGGAGACGGCGATGCGGCTGATGGTGTGGGTGAGGAGCACATGGGTGGAGGGGCAGCCTTGGCCCTTGAAGAGGACCTGGGAGTAGATGAGGTACAGGCCCTCTGATGGCACCACCAGCTGGTTATCTCTCAGCTCCACGCCATTGGCCAGGAGGGCATTGGCCCGGCGGTTCAGCCACTGGAGCTGCCCCTCAGCTTGAGGGTTTGCTGGAGGGAGGGAGAGAGGGAGAGGAGAGTCAGTGTGGCCATGTCGGTTCACTCTCCACATCCTGGCCCTCGAGCTCTGCCCACCCCACATCCGGTTCCTGTCCTCTCTGTCTGTCATCCCACATCCCACCTGGCCATGACGTTCTGAGTATCCCACTAAGGCCTGTGCTGTTCCTCCACCCTTCCCTTGAGCTCAGCGAGTCCTTCTCACATTGTCTCCAAGTTCTGCCTACCATCAGCCGGGCTTCAATCCCCAAATCCTAGCCCTCCAAGTTCCAAGACACATCCTCAGAGCTCTTACCTACAACATGGGCTACAGGCTTGTCACTCGGGGTTCGAGAAGATGATCCTGAAGAGGAGAGAGAAAAGAAAAAGCTGAGACCCTTAAACTTCCTAGAAAATACCCCCCTACTTTCACCTCCATCCATCCTCCCCCAAGACCAAAACTTTAAATTTCCCCCACTGCTTCCATACCGGTACTAACCCTACCCCCAAACCCAAACCCAGAATTAGGAAAGAGGTTTGGAGACACTTACTGACTGCCTGGGCCAGAGGGCTGATTAGAGAGAGGTCCCTGGGGAACTGTTGGGGAGAAGGAGAATGGTTAACATCGAGGGAGTCACCCTTAAAGGAGGAACAGCTGGCTGCCTGTCTGGCCTGCGCTCTTAGCCCTGAGGTGTCTGGTTTTCTCTCTCCATTCATCTGTGTATTCACCTTCCAGGCATTCAACAGCTCTTTCCCTGAGTGTCTTCTGTGTGCCAGACACCCTATCTTCTTCTCTCCTTATCTCCCCCATCTCTCTCCTTAGCTGTCATATTTCCCGCTCTTTCTGTCTCACCATCTTTATTCATATCACTTGTTTCTTCCCCCATCTCTCTTCTCACACCCCACATCTGTCTCCATATCTTATTTATATATCTGCTTGTTCATTCATTCATTCATTCATTCACTCCATACACACTTAGTGAGCACCTTCCATGTGCCAGACATCCTGTCTCTCCATCTTTCTCTCTCTCTCTTCCCCATCTCTTGCCACATCTCTTTCTGCATCCCCGTCTTTCTCCACGTTTTTTTCTCTCCATCCCTCCCTATCAGCGCACATCTTTCACCCATCCCATCTCTCTCCCTCTCTTGCGTCTCCATTTCCCCTTGGGTGGGAGAGTGGATGAAGGCTGGCCAGGCACTCACCTCTTCCCTCTGGGGGCCGATCACTCCAAAGTGCAGCAGGCAGAAGAGCGTGGTGGCGCCTGCCACGATCAGGAAGGAGAAGAGGCTGAGGAACAAGCACCGCCTGGAGCCCTGGGGCCCCCCTGTCTTCTTGGGGAGCGCCTCCTCGGCCAGCTCCACGTCCCGGATCATGCTTTCAGTGCTCATGGTGTCCTTTCCAGGGGAGAGAGGGTGGAGCCGTGGGTCAGTATGTGAGAGGAAGAGAACCTGCCTGGCAGCTTGTCAGGGGATGTGGCGTCTGAGGGTTGTTTTCAGGGGGGGTCTGTAGTTGCTTCTCTCCCTCTTAGCTGGTCCTCTGCTGTCCTTGCTGAGGGAGCGTCTGCTGGCTGGGTGTGCCAACAACTGCCTTTATATGTCCCTGGGGCGAGAGGAGGGCGGGGAAAGAATCATTCAACCAGCGGAAAACTTCCTTGGTGGAGAAACCCATGAGCTCATCTGGAGGAAGCGGTAGTGGGCCCTGCACCTTCTGTCTCGGTTTCTTCTCCATCGCGGGGGCGGGGATTTGGAAAGTTGGGGACACACAAGCATCAAGGATACCCCTCACACTCCCCATCCTCCCTGCTCCGATTCCGAGGGGGGTCTTCTGGGCCACTGACTGATTTGTGTGTAGGACCCTGGAGGCTGAACCCCGTCCCCATGCCCCTCAAAACCTATTGCCTCCATTTCTTTTGGGGACCAGGTCTGTGGTCTGTTTCCTTCTAACTTCCAGACAGGATGCAGGAAAAAGATAGAACTAGAACTGGGAGGGGCTTCAGAAAGCTGAGTCCTTGAGGGAGAGAAAACGGGGTTGGAGGGAAAAGCTGTGTTGAGTCCTGAGGCCTGTGTTTGGGTCCCTGCGGGGAGAAGGAGCTGGGGGCTTGGTGGCAGGCTTGAGGCCTCAGGAAAGGCTGGGTGGGGGTAGCAGGGACAAGCCTGGGACAGCCCCGGGGAGTGAAATCACCCCCGGGAATTCACAGACCCCACTGGGGCAGGCCTTCTTCTTTCATTCTGACCCGGAGACTCATAATGCTGGTTTCAGTCTTGGCTTCCAAGGAACTCTGGGGTCCCTGATTTTTTTCATGAAGCTCTCACTTCTCAGGGCCCCAGTGTGTGGCCATATCTTCTTAAACGTCCCCTGTATTCCATACCTGGAGGTCCTGGAGGCTCTTTCACTCCCTGGGGCCCTCTACATGGCCCTGTCTTCGTTAAGTGGGGGTCCCCATACTCGACTTCCATAGCCCTGGACATTCTCCTACCCATTGCTGTGGTCACATCTCCCCAGAGGTCTCCTGTAACCCATTCCTCAGAGCCGCTACATGTGGCCATATCTCCCAGGAGCTCCCTGACCCCCGCCCCTCCAGACCCTGACTTTTCCTTCGTCTTCTCAGCTTCTCCTTTGCTTCCCCTGCAGCAGTCTGGCGGCCTCACCTGGTGAGTCCATCACATATCCCTGAAGCTCTCTGAGCCCTTATCCTTTTGTTCTCCCCACAGCTCTTGCTCCCTTTGAGCCCTCTGTCCCTCCCTCCATTCCTTAGATAGACTGGGAAGTTCTCACTCCCAGACACACACACACAAGCAGACAGCATTTCAGAGAAAAGAGGTTTATTGGGCTTCATCGAGGGTGCAGATGCCTCCGTGTGGGGCTCTGGTCGGCAGCTGGCTTTCAGAGCCTTTCCCTGCCTTCTGGGGCCCTGTGATCCCTCATGCCTACTTCTTTCTCTCTTGGTCAGCCTTGTGCGCATGCCCTCTCACTCTTCATCTCTTGGGCCTGTCTCTGTTTCTCCTTGGATGTTCTTCTATTATTCCCCTCTCTCCATCCTCCATAAATAAATAATTTAATTTTTTTGCCTTCATAAATAGTCCCCTCCCTGCCTCTAGTCATCCCCCAAGCTCCTCCATGTGCCTGCTCTTCCTCTGTGTGTGGATCTAGGCCCCACCTAGCTGGTGGGACAGACCAACAGCTTTGGGCTGGGAATTCCTAGGCAGGCTTGAAATCCTCAGCCAGACAGACATCAGGGATGGTTCAGGGAGGTGTGGTCCCCTGGGATGCCTAGAATTCCTTCTTTGAAAGCTCCGGTGACTTGATCAGGGAAGACTTGAGCTGTTGGAATGGCCAAAGGAGAGGTGGTGACGACCCCTGAAATGGTCAGAATGGAGGCAGAATGGGGAGAAGGTCTTGAAATCAATTATTTTTTCTTTCTGGATTTTTCCAAGTTCTACAGAGCGAAGGCTCCAAAGAAGACAGTACTAGGGCTGAGGACTAGGTGGGGGATGCCATCTGTGTGGGTGGATAGCTGGTCTCCCTGGGTGAGCTGGAACGCAGCCCCGTGGTACATCGAGTGCAGCCAGGGTTCCTGCAGCCCTGGATACACCATCTTCTGGGAGCTGAGGAGAGGCACATGGAAGGGGTACTGGGAGGAGAAGAGCTGGACCTCATGGGCCAGGTAGAGTGGGGAGGAGGTGGCCTTGGGAGAGTAGGCTTTCCCAGAGAAGACCACCTGGGAGTAGACGAAGTAGATGCCACTGGTGGGGACCAGGAGAGAATTGTTGCTCAAGGAGAAACCATCCTGGAGGAAGGCACGGTCCGTGTTTGCTCTCCAGAGCAGTGAGTTCTGCTTGCTGGGGTCTCCTAGGAAGAGCCATAGGGGATGGGGGTGGGAGATCAGGGGTCTGGATCAGAGGTCTCAATCCCTGAGGAAGTGGGCACTGAACAACTGAGTTCCTGGGGGATGGCAGGGGGAGGCATAGGAGTGGGCTCCCTCTGTTTTTTTTAGCGTGGGGGAAGTTGGGGGAGAGGGGTGGATGCTTGGGTTCCTGAGGCAGGGGTAGGAGGAGAGCTGGTGGGGACATGTCTGGGAGGTCAGGTGGATGTTTACCAATGAGGTGAGCAGCAGGTTTGAGGGTGCTGTGGGCAAGATGCATCTTGGGGTGCTGACGGGCAGTCTGGGCAGCTGAAGGTGTGAGGCCAACACCAGGGAGCCCCTAGGGGAGAACAGAGTTGAGGGGGGCTCTAGGGCTCAAGGTTTGGCTGAGCCACCCCAGCAGCCCCCATTCTCCTGCTGCCTCACCTGGGCCCCAGGCAGCAGAACCAGCAGCAGCCCCAGAAGGAGGAGGTGTAGGGTGGTGCCACGCACCCTTGGGAGGAAGAGACGTTCAGGTGGTGTCATGGGGAGAACCTGCAGAGAAAGAGAGAGAGAGAGAGAGAGACAGTGAGCGGGGCGGGGCACGCGGCGGAAGACAGACCTCCCGCCCTGGGAGACAGCACCCCCCGACCCCCGAGAGAGAGATCGACAGAGAAGGGGACAAGATGCAGTCAGAGAAACCCCAAGGTGAGCAGAGGGAGACAGAGAGAGACAGGAAGGGAACAGAGAGGAATCATGGCAGAAACAGAGAATGTGTGACAGAGACAATGAGACTGACAGATGGAGAGTCAGAGACAGAGAAGGAAACCAAAACCAAACCCACCAAGGCCCAGGCCCAGGCAGGCCGGGGATCCAGGCAGCAGGTGCAGGAGGGACCGAGGCCCAGGCAGAGGGCAGGACACTGCGGGGCGGTAGTCCAAAGCACGAAGCACGGGCAGCCCAAGGAGATGGGGCAGGAGAGCCTCACCTGCTGTGCGGAGCCCCTGGGCCCGGACGCTCAGGTCCCTTTATAGAGGAAGCGGCAGTGGCAGCGTGGCAGGCAGCGGGCGGGTTCTAGGTCGGGGCTGGGGCCCGGGGAAGCCCCCAGGGCTTAGAAGATACTGCTGTTTCAGTCAAAGGCAGGAAAGGCTGAGGCCTAGGAGAGAACCACAGGCTGGGGGTTCAGGCGACTGAGTTCTGGGAAAGGGAGTCGGGTCAGGGGAATCGTGGGCTGGGAGGGCCAGGGAGTGGGGTCAGGCCTAGAGTTCCAAAGAAGGGACAGTCAATTCAGAGAGGAGGCAGTTGAGCAGCTGGGGTGTGAGCTGGAGGCCCGGTTCCCTGAAGAGCAATCATATATAACATCTCTGCACCCTTGGCTGAGTACAGGCTTCTCTCTTTGCCCATTTCCTTCTCTTGTACCCCTGTCCTTGTCCCAAACAACTCAAATCATACTTGTCCCAGTATACGGACTTTCCAGCCCATCTGGCAGGTTTCACATCAAGAAGGTCCATTATATATCCCCTTCATCGGGGACATTCTGGTGTTTGCCTCTTGTCCAGGTGAAAATATTAATGGATCCCCCTTCCACTCTTGAAAGTGTCCTAGTTTGGAAGATAAATTTTTTGGTCCCCTTACTCAGAGATGATGCTGGACAGTCAAGTATGATGAGGTCTCATCTCACTCCTGAAGGATGCCCTCCATCTCTTCCTGACTTCAGGTGGCTTCCACAGAACAGATTTATATAACCCCAAATAAACACACATTCCAGGATCAATGTGGCAGACACCTTCCAAAGTTTTCTACAAAGGAAGTTTCAGAATTCCACATGGGTGAGGCTTAAGGGTGGTGACTTAGGGTGGGGTGGGGACAGCTAAGGGACTTGTTCTGAAGCTGCATTTGCAGAGCCAATACATTATTTTAAAATTGTTCCAGGCCTGGTGCAGTGGCTCACACCTGTAATCCTGGCACTTTGGGAGTCTGAGGTGGGCGGATTACTTGAGGTCAGGAGTTTGAGACCAGCTGGCCAACATGGTGAAACCCCATCTCTATAATAAATACAAAAATTAGCCAGGCGTGCTGGTGCGCATCTGCAGTCCCAGCTACTCGGGAGGCTGAGGCTGGAGAATTATTTGAACCTGGGAGGCGGAGGCTGCAGTGAGTCAAGATCGCACCACTGTATTCCAGCCTGGGGGACAGAGCAAGACTCTGTCTCAAAAAAAAAAAAAAAGTTTCCAAAATTTTTTTCCTTTTTATTGATATGTAACTTAGGTATGAGGTGGACACCTCTTAAGTGTACAGCTGATGAATTTTTCCATCTGTATGTAGCCACCACCCAGCTCCACGTATTTTCAGGTCCCCAGCAGGTTCCCTCATGCCCCCTCCCTGCTGATACCCTCCAAAGATAACCAACCACTCTCTCACTTTTATCACCATAGATTATTTCCTCCTGGTTTGGGGCATCATATAAATGAAATCACACAGAATGTACTCATTTCTGTTTGACTTCTTTCAGTCAGCATTATGTTTGTGAGATTCATATACGTGGTTGTATGTATCAGTAATGTTTTTTAAAAAAATTATGATGTAATATTCTATTGTATCAATATATTCTAATATATTCTGTTGATGGGGATTTGGTTTGTTTCTAGTTTTTGTCTAACACAAAAAATGTCTAACACGAACATTCTCATACATGAGCCCATTTTCACTTAGCTTGCAAGTTACAAGGTTTAAAAAAAGCAGTTTCTAAAGATGACTTTATTCACTTTTCCTAAGTTTGAGATAATACCAACTTGTCACCTCAAATATTATTACTGCTACTCATGTGATTTTACTTGGAGAGTGTTAGAGGGGTTGGAGCTGGGGCTGGTGGTGACCCGGGGTAAAGCCCACTGTTGCATGGGGCAGACCACTTCTCTCCCCAGGCACAAGGTCCCTGAGGGGTCTTGGTGTAACATGGAGGGACATGTAAGTAACATTCTGGGTGTGTATGAGCTATTTCTCCTGTTCTTCTCTACTTGAGGACCTGCCCCTTTGCCTTTTATGCTTTACTAGTCTTAGCTATTATTTCTGTAGGGGCAGAAAGGGGTGATCCCTTCCTGACCCATCATAAGGGTTATGGCCAATACTCCTATAATAAAAGACAGATTAACAAGAGAAAAGCATAATACATTTATTTAATCAAAGTTTTAGGTGACATGGGAGCCTTCAGAAATGAAGACCCAAGGACCCAGGGGAAAACTATTTTTATGCTTAGATTTGATGAAGAATGAACAGCTGTGCAGAAATGTAATTGAACAAAAGGAGTATCATCTAATGGTCACAGACTGGGACTGGGGGGATCCCAGCAAGGCCTGGCCATATTCTTCTTGGTCTCTCTGTACAGCATTCCTTCCTCCCAGGTATAGGGCAGAACCTCTTCTGGAATGAGGGTCTTATAACCTACTATCAGATGAGATAAGTCAGAAAATTTCTTTTCCTTTTTTTTTTTTTGAGACAGTTTCTCACTGTCGCACAGGCTGGAGTGCAGTGGCACGATCTTGGCTCACTGCAACCTCTGCCTCCCAGGTTCAAGCTATTCTCCTGCCTCAGCCTCCCGAGTAGCTGGGATTACAGGCACACGCCACCAAGCCCGCCAAATTTTTTTTTGTATTTTTAGTAGAGACGGGGTCT
Source organism: Homo sapiens (assembly GCF_000001405.40). Taxonomy (NCBI): domain Eukaryota; kingdom Metazoa; phylum Chordata; class Mammalia; order Primates; family Hominidae; genus Homo; species Homo sapiens. The sequence continues at coordinate 2,911,514 of NT_167247.2, read as the reverse complement.
CACCATGTTGGCCAGGTTGGTCTTGAATTCCTGACCACAGGTGACCCACCAGCCTTGGCCTCCCAAAGTGCTGGGATTATGGGCGTGAGCCACTGCGCCCAACCTTCTTCTCATTCTTTTAACCTTATTATCTCTTGTGTCAGTGTGGGTTTCCCTTTTAGCCCCTGCTCCTTTCTTTTTCTCTGTGTTGCCCTTTCTCTCAGGGTCCTTTTTGCTTCCTGTTGTCTCTTTCTGCTTCTCTAATGGTATGAGCTGATGGACTGGGACCCCAGCTGAGCTATATTAAAATATAAAATGTTATTACAAGGCCAGGAGCAGTGGCACATGCCTGTCATCCCAGCACTTTGGGAGGCTGAGGCGAGCAGATCACAAGGTCAGGAGATAGAGACAATCCTGGCTAATACGGTGAAACTCCATCACTGCTAAAAATACAAAAAATTAGCCGAGCATGGTGGCACGCGCCTGTAATCCTAGCTACTAGGGAAGCTGAGGCAGGAGAACTGCTTGAACCCAGGAGGCGGAGGTTGCAGTGAGCCGAGATCGTGCCACTGCCCTCCAGCCTGGGCAACAAAGTGAGACTCCATTTCAAACAAACCAACCAAAAAACAAAACAAAACAAAACAAGCAAACAAAAAAAGGTATTGCAATTAACAGTGAGACACAGAGAGAAATTTAAATTAAAGAGGAAGAATGGGACATTGAAAGACAAAAAAGGGAAGGCAAGAAGGGTGATGGGGAGACATGAGAGACACAGAGGAAGGAAGGGTAAGACTGGGCTGAGGCTCAGTGTCACGTGCATGTGAGATATGCGAAGGATGCTCCTTGAGATGGGCCAATCTTGGTTTCAATCTCAGTTTCGGAGGTTGTATGAATTTGGTTTCTTTCTTGGGCAGGCCAGCAGTTGGTTTGGGACTTTCCCTGGGTGGGAGAGCTGATGACTGGAGTCTTGTGCCCCAGACTCAGGGAAATACAGTCTTTATAGTGGTCTTTGTGGAGAAACTAGTGAAATCTCTGAAGCCTCCAAATGAGACTGAAATGACATTAGCTTCAAACTTGAACTTAGCCTCAAAACCTGAATTGGGATTTAATACCAACATCAACCCTAACCCAAATTTAACCTCAACCCAAATCACAACTCAAACTCAACCCCAACTGTAACCCTAACCTCAAATCTAAACACATCCCAATTAATAACCCCCTAAATAAAACTTCTCCTCTACCCCAACCCAACCCTGTTTCTAGGGCTAATCTTGAAACCAGTTTACCACCACTCCTAACACTAAACTTAAATCTGACTCTAAATGTAAGTCCAATCTGAGCCACAAGCCTAAAGTTGAACTTTATCCTGCTTTATGAATTATTCATCCATTCCTCCATTTAGTGAGTATCTGCGTGCCTAACACATGCTGGGCATTGTCCTAAGGCAGGAGGGACATGGAGGCAAAGGGATCAGAGAAGGTACCAGCACCTGTGGAGCTTGTATTCCAGTGAGGCCAGACGGAAAAGAAAGAAACTGAAGAAGAAATTGGTACTATGAGAAAATAAGACAGGCTGATGTTGTAAGAGTGGCAGGGAGCTACTTTTAAATACAGTAGTCAGCAAAATCCTCTTTGAGTGTTTGGGTGGCACTGGAGCTGAGACCCAAATGACAAAAAATAGTGACCAGGTAAAAGTTTGGGAGCAAAGCATTTCAGGTAAAGGGAGCAGCTACTGCAAAGGCTGGAAGGCGGAACCAAGCTGGGGGTGTTGACGACAAACAGAAGGCCAGTGTGGCTGGAGCAGAGAGAGAGACTGGGAGGCGGGTGGGAGATGAGGTCAGAGAGGAGGGCAGGGGCCAGGTCATGCAGGGCCATGCAAGAAGGGTAAAGCCTCTAGATTTCATCCAGCCACAGGAAGCCTTTAAAGGTCGTCAGAGTGTGTGGTGCGTGCGTGTGTGTGTGTGTGTGTGTGTTGCAGGGGAGAGAGGGGGAGGGAGAGAGAGAGAGAGAGAAGAGGGAGGTGAGCAGAGGTGATTGGATTTTTTTTTCTTTTGACATGGTGTCTTGCTCTGTGGCCTAGGCTGGAGTGCAGTGGCACCATCATAGCCCACTGCAACCTCAAAACCATGGGCTCAAGTCATCCTTCCACCTCAGCTTCCCAAGTATCTAGGACTACAGGTGTGTGCCACTGTGCCTGGCTAATTTTAAAAAATATTTTAAAATTTTTGTTGAGACAGGGTCTATGCTGCTCAGGCTGGTCTCGAACTCCTGGTTTCAAGTGATCTGCCCATCTTGGCCTCCCAAAGTTTTTTTTTGTTAGTTTGAGAGGCGGTTTCGCTCGTTGCCCAGGCTGGAGTGCAATGACTGATCTCATCTCACTGCAACCTCTGCCTCCTGGGTTCAAGCGATTCTCCTGCTTCAGCCTCCCAAGTAGCTGGGATTACAGGTGCATGCCACCATTCCCGGCTAATTTTTTGTATTTAGTAGAGATGGGGTTTCACCATGTTAGTCAGGCTGATCTCAAACTCCTGACCTCAGGTGATCCGCCTGCCTCAGCCTCCCAAAGTTTTGGGATTACAGGTGTGAGCCACCATGCTGGGCCAGCCTCCCAAAGTTTTGGGATTACAGGCATGAGTCACCACACTGGCCCTGGATTTTTTTTCTTTCTTTTTTTTGGAGACGGAGTCTCACTCTGTTGCCCAGGCTGGAGTGCAATGGCGTAATCTCAGCTCACTGCAACCTCTGCTGCCCGGGTTCAAACGATTCTCCTGTCTTAGCCTCCTGAGTAGCTGGGATTATAGGTGCATGCCACCATGCCTGGCTAATTTTTGTACTTTTAGTAGAGAAAGTACACCATCTTGGCCAGGCTGGTCTCGAACTCCTGACCTCAGGTGATCCACTTGCGTCGGCCTCCCAAAGTGCTGGGATTACAGGCGTGAGACACCGCACCCAGCCTTTTTTTTTTTTTTTTTCTTTTAAGACAGAATCGCTCTGTCACCCAGGCTGGAGTGCAGTGGCACAATCTCGGCTCACTGCAACCTCTGCCTCCCAGGTTTAAGCAATCCACCTATGTCAGTCTCCCAAGTAGCTGGGATTATAGGTGCATGTCACCATGCCTGGCTAATTTTTGTACTTTTAGTATAGAAAGTACACCATGTTGGCCAGGCTGGTCTTGAACTCCTGACCTCAAGTGATCCGCCTGCCTCAGCCTCCCGAAGTGCTGGAATTACAGACATGTGCCACTGCACCCGGCCTGGTTTTTTTTTTCTAAGAGATGGAGTCTCACTTTTCTGCCCAGGTTGGAGTGCAATGGCACCATCATAGCTCACTGCAGCCTTCAACTCTTGGCCTCAGGCAATCCTTGCACCTTAGCCTCGCAAAGTGTTGGGATTACAGGCATGAGCCACTGAGCCTTGCCTGGACTTTTTTTTTTTTTTGAGATGGCGTCTCGCTCTGTTGCCCAGGTTGGAGTGCTACGGCATGATCTTGGCTCACTGCAACTTCCACCTCCCAGGTTCAAGCGATTCTCTTGCCTCGGCCCCCCGAGTAGCTGGGATTACAGGCATGCGCCACCGTGCCTGGCTAATTTTGGTATTTTTAGTAGAGATAGGGTTTCATCATGTTGGGCAGGCTGGTCTTGAACTCCTGACCTCGTGATCCACCCACCTCGGCCTCCCAAAGTGCTGGGATTATAGGCATAGCCAACGCGCCCAGCCTGGACTTGTTTTTAAAAGATCACTGTGGCTCCTGTGTTTAGGCTGGCTGGTAGGAGACAGGTGGCAGTGACATTGATGGTGAAGAGAAAATAGTGGCAGCCATGGAGATGGAGAGAAGTAGACAAGTTTGGGATATATTATACATTCCAGGGGTAGAAACAACAGGACTAGATGATGGATTGATGGGTGGGAGATGTAGATACTGGGAGAGAAGCAGGATTCTGATGGATGGAAAAACTAAAAAATTCTATTTTGGGTGTGGTAAGTCTAAGTCTATTAGACATGCAAGTAGAGATGTCACTGGGCAGATACACATCTGGATTTCAGGGGCAAGGTCCAAGCTAGAGAAAGAAACCTGGGCATGGTCAGCATGAGGATGGTGTTTAAAGCCATGGAACTTATCTTGTGCATCCCTATAAGACCCCTTTGAGGCACTTGTTTCCCCTCACAATGGATGCAGTGCATCTTCCATTCTGAATTCCAGAGGCAACAACCTCCTGCTCCTAGAAGCTAAACTCTCCAGACTTAGTCTTCTGAATTCCCACTGGGATTTAACCTCCCTGGATTCAATTCCCTACCCCACAAGGACCCTTCTACCAATCCATTTCACAATATTTGGTGGAACTCTTCACATTTTCAAATCCTGTCTTCTATGTTTGAAAGCATTTTCCTCTGGGCATTTTGAAACCTGGCTTTCCCCTAATGATGCTACTCCTCTCTGTGGTGAAGGTTGCTCTTTCTTCGACCTCCATCACTAGGGGAATGAAGGCAGAAGAGAGGGGTCGTTATTTTCTCTCCCCCAGACCACTGATAAACTCCTCCTCATCTCCCAAAGCACGTGCCTTTTGCATTTGCCATGCTCTTCCTGTCTTCACAGCACAATCTTATCCATCAAAATATTTATTATGCTCTTAACAACTTGTATAACTAGCTCAGTCTTTCTCCACATCTTATCCCTACCATCATCCTTGTTTGTTTGTTTTTTGAGACAAGGTATTGCTCTGTCACCCAGGCTGGAGTGCAGTGGCGTGATCTTGGCTCACTGCAGCCTCGACCTCCTGGGCTCAAGTGATCCTCCCACGTCAGCCTCCTGAGTAGCTAGGACTACAGGCGCATACCACCATGCCCGGCTAAGTTTTGTATTTTTTTTTTTTTCCAGAGATAGGGTTTTGCTATGTTGCCTAGGCTGGTCTTGAACTCCTGAGCTCAAGCAATCCACCCGCCTCAGCCTCCCAAAGTGCTGGGATTACAGGCATGACCCACCGCACCCGGCCTCCTACCACCATCTTTAGTGACTTTAAAAGCCACAAAGATCGGCTGGGCGCAGTGGCTCACACTTGTAATCCCAGCACTTTGGGAGGCTGAGGCGGGTGGATCACGAGGTCAGGAGATCGAGACCATCCTGGCTAACAAGGTGAAATCCCGTCTCTACTAAAAATACAAAAACAAAATTAGCTGGGCGTGGTGGTGGGTGCCTGTAGTCCCAGCTACTCGGAAGGCTGAGGCGAGAGAATGGCATTAACCCGGGAGGCGGATCTTGCAGTGAGCCCAGATCACACCACTGCACTCCAGCCTGGGTGACAGAGCGAGACTTCGTCTCAGAGGAAAAAAATAAAAATAAAAAAAGAAGCCACACAGATCAGATGAGTCTTACAGTCTGGCCTCTCAATTCTCCAAGTTTCTCAAGTCTACTGGTTTTACAGCCTCTTCTTCCCTCCTCCATTTTAGCCACCCAGGAGTAAGGTTGTACCTCAAACCCCAGCATCACTTGGAAGAATTATGCCTTCAAGATCTTGATCTCTGAATTACCCTTCTCATCACAACCACTCACTTTTCACATCTCCCACTCTCTGCCTCCCCTTGAATCAGTTCTTTATTCTTACCAAGACTTCCGGCTGCTTCTGCTTTCCTGGTTTTGCTTGTTGATTTAACATGTACTGCATGGTCAACAATTTCAACTCCACTTTGTCTGCATTTTAGAATCTCTTACCGCCGGGCACCGTAGCTCACACCTGTAATCCCAGCACTTTGGGAGGCCAAGGTGGGCGGATCACCTGAGGTCAGGAGTTCGAGACCAGCCCGGCCAATGTGGTGAAGCCCCATCTCTACTAAAAATACAAAAATTAGCTGGGCGTGATGGTGGGCAACTGTAATCCCAGCTACTCTGGAGGCTGAGGGAGGAGAATCGCTTGAACCTGGGAGGCAGAGGTTGCAGGGAACCAAGATTGAGCCATTGCACTCCAGCCTGGGCAACAAGAGTGAAACTCTGTCTCAAAAATTGACTTGGGTAAACTAAGTGGTCTCATTCTTGGGGCTTTGTCTTAGGCTGCCAAGCGCTGCAGTAGACAGCTGAGTCACCATAAGAGGCCTATAACTAATCCTGGCCAGCTAATCTCAGAGAGTCATCAGTGTTCTTGGACACAACTTTTACTCATTCTTTGTTGACTCCCCATTATACTCCTGTGCGTGATGTTCTAAATCTCCGTGCCTCTGATGTTCTTCACTCTCATCTATTAATATTTCATTGAGCTTAAGGCCATCAAGTGTGGATCTCACTTCCCTCTTTTTCCTTAATTTTGTTATATTTAATCTTTCCTTACATACTGACTCACAGTACTTTTTCTTGTTTCCAAGACTGATCCTTTTATCTGTACTCTATCCCACTTCCTCTATCTTTACTATATTATCTCCCCACTTCTTGCTTATGTTTTCACTATCTCTCCCTTTCTTGTTTGTTTTTGGGATAGGCTTGCTCTGTTGCCCAGGCTGGAGTGCAGTGGCGCGATCTCGGCTCACTGCAACCTCTACCTCTCGGGTTCAAGTGATTCTCCTGCCTCAGCCTCCTGAGTAGCTGGGGTTACAGGCGTGTGCCACCACGCCCAGCTAATTTTTGTATTTTTAGTAAAGACAGCATTTCACTATGTTGGCTAGGTTGGTTTTGAACTCCTGATATCTATAGTCTGCCCACCTCAGCCTCCCAAAGCGCTGGGATTACAAGGGTGAGCCACCGCACCTGGGCTTTTTTTTTTTTTTTTTGAGACTGAGTCTCGCTCTGTCACCCAGGCTGGAGTGCAGTGGTGTGATCTCGGCTCACTGCAACCTCTGCCTCCTGAGTTCAAGCGATTCTCCCACCTCAGTGAATAGCTGGGACCACAGGCATGTGCCACCACGCCTGGCTAATTTTTGTATCTTTCGTAGAGATGCGGTTTTGCCATGTTGGCCATACTAGTCTTGAACCCCTGGCCTCAAGTGATCTGCCCACCTTGGCCTCCCACAGTGCTGGGATTACAGGTGTGAGCCACTGCACCTGGCCTATCTTTGTCTCTTTAAGCATCTTCATTTTACCTTCAATTTTATTTCTTGAAAATAAACAACAAAAAAGATCCTTCCTTGGAATATTTCTCCCTCAAATGTCCAGTCTATCTCACCTTCCGTTTTCGTGTGATGTCTCAAAAGACTAGCCCCCTTAACGAACCACTTTTTCAGGAACTGGTAAAATTTCCCTCAACTGTAAAATCTGTGGGTAGAACTAAGAGATGATTCTCAGTTATTCTGTGTTCACCATTCTGACCTCATGCCCACCACCTCCTTTTCCTCACCTCCCACTCATTCCTCAACCTATGTAAAGTGATTTCTGCCCCTCTATTAAATGGAAACGGTTTTCTCAAAATTTGTAATCGTCTAGTTCCTGAACCCAACAATCTTTTCAACCCTCATTTACTAGACCTCTTTGAAGCCTCAAACATGGCTGCCCTGTCTCTGCTTGGCATCCCCCGCCCCCCGTGCCCTACTTCTCTGACTGCTCCCCAACCTCTCCTTTATTGGTTCTCTTCCTTTGATCATGCTCAGGGCTCTTCTGGTCACTCCGCCCCCTCCCTTGAAGATCCTGTCCACTCAAAGGCTCAACCTCTACTGGGAAGGGAATGATGCCCAAATCTGTTCCTCCAGACCCAACTTCTCTTGAGCTCCAGACCTGCTTTCTGGAAATCTCCACCTGAGAGTCATGCTGGTACCTCAAACCTTCATTGAGCACTTTATTACCCTAAGCAGGCATACCTATACATTATAACTATAATGTATAGTTATTATTTGTATACTGTCTCATTAGACTGCAAGTTCTATGAAGGCAGTGACTTTATTATTTATACCTATTGTCAAGCAGTGCCCTGCTCCTAATAGGTGCTTAATAATTTTTTTTTTTTTTGGATACAGAGTCTTGCTCTGTCACCCAGACTGGAGAGCAGAGGCATGATCTCAGCTCACTGCAACCTCTGCCTCCCGGGTTCAAGTGATTCTTGTGCCTCAGACACCTGAGTAGCTGGGATTACAGGTGCCCACCACCACACCCAGCTAGTTTTTATATTTTTAGTAGAGACGGGGTTTCACCATGTTGGCCAGGCTGGTCTCGAACTCCTGGCCTCAAGTGATCCTCCCAAAGTGCTCCCACCTTGGCCTCCCAAAGTGCTGTGATTACAGGAGTGAGGTGCCTGGCCACCACCACCCACCTTTTGGACAGACGTTGAGAGGATTTGTGGTGTTAGGAAAAGGGCTGGTTAACACACAGTAGGTATTAATTCACAAGATGATGGCCGTTTTCTTACTCCTTGTCTGTACTGCAGCACTCACCTGTTCTCCCTCTTTTTCATCGTCACCTGGACCACTGCCCACAGGATGCAGTCCAATCTCTGACCTTGACTTTCTGTGGTCCTTTCTTCATCACATGTTCCCTCACACCTGTGCTTCTTCTCCCTCAGGACGCTCCTTTCCCAGAACATACTGCATTTTCTGACTTGTCAGGCTCGCTCAAGACGTGTTATTCGCCTATGGAACCTTTCCATCCACCTCCACCTAGTGAACCCATTCATTAGAGCAAGTTCAAATGCTGTCTCCTCAGAGGCTCCCTGGATGCTTTCAAATGGACTTAATCTCCCCTCTTTCTGTAATCATCTTAAAGTTTACTCATCATGCCTTGAATCAGTTAACTAGGTATGGGTCTGCCTCCCCACTAGATTGTAAGCTTGAAGCAGGGTTTAAATTTATCTTTGGGCTACATAATGCTCAGTTGACCTACACTGAACAGAGTCCCTCCCAGATCCTTTTCCTAACTTAATCCAAACCTGCCCCAACCTGAGTCCTCAAACTGACCCTCTTCAATCTCATTATTCTTTTCCAGGCCTGTTCCTCCAATTGAATCCCAATGCATCCTCCACTGAGACTCAACTCCTGGTGCCAGCTCTAGAGAGCAGAGATACACTTCCACCTACCCACTGTTTCATGGCAGGCACTGAGTCACCCCTTGGGAATCCCTGGCCCCTGTCCCTGCCCCCACCATGCTGGACAGGATGCGTGCTGCCTGCCCCAAGGGGTCAGAGGAAGCCAGGGCCTCTAGGGCTCAGTATTTTTATCAGCCTAGGAAACAAGAGACACAGAAGCGGAAACCATGTGGTCAGAGAAAGTGAACAGCCCTTATCTCAGGGGAACCCCCACCAGGGCTGGGGGCCAGACACCAGGAAGGGACGTTGAAAAGACTGTGGTCCGGTGGGCCCAGGTTTCAGGGCTTATTTTGCTTTGGTTTTATGTAACTCTTGCAGAAGGGGAAATGATGTGCTTAAAAACCAGTGAGAAATCTCCTGGGTGGAGGAGCAAATTTGGTCACCAGAGTTTTCTGTAATTTACTTCTCAACCTCCAGCTTAGGGATCCTAACCCCAACTCCCCCCAAGGCCAAACCTGGACTCTTTGCATGCCACTTCCGAAAAGCTCCAGCCTGTGAGAGGAACCGGACGCCAGGGTCACACACAGCTTGAAGTCTCTTCTCTGAATCACAGCAGCTTCCTCTCACAGGATCTTTCTCACCAGCCCTTCCCCCTCCTGCACCCTGAACATCTGCCTGGTCCTTCAGAGGCCTTGGTCTCTTCCGAACTTCAGGCTGTCTTATTCAAGGATCTCATGCCCACCCATGTTCCCGTGTTCCCAGAGGCGTGCCCTCCCTGTCTTCTACTGCCTTCCACTTCCACTCCTGGGATTCTCCTGTAGAGAACTGGGCTCAAAACCTGAAAGATAAGTTTCTGATTGATAAGATGCTCTGGTGTAACTATGCAGACAGTGCACTCACCAGCACATGTCTGTACTCTCCTTGCAGCCCTGTCCTTTCTTTTTGCCAAGTTCCCAGTTGTGTCCTGGGCGATGGTAGTGGGGTCTACCTATCTTAGTTTCCAGGGAGCCCCCCTCTCTCCTCCGTGGGAATCCCAGACTCTCCCTCCACCTCTCAGGACTTCAACTACTGGTTCTTGGAAAAGGAAATGTTTATAGGGAAGGCCATGCCTGGGCTGCCCAGAGATGAACTCAGGTTTAGGATGGGGCAGCAGCTGAATGGCGGAGATGAGGATTGGGGCCCTGGAGGAAGAGAGATACAACTGACAAGCTAGAGGGCAGAGATGGATGGAGCCAGCAGCCTGGCTGGCTTTGGGTGTGGAGCTCCAGTTGCCCAAGAACAGACAACCCATGTTACATAATTTTGCTCTTTCCACCTCCTTCCCCTGCTCCTAATTTTAGCAACTGAAATTCCACTCCCCCACAGGGCTCTTCCTCCAGCCATTCTGCTTGTATTCCCCATCCTCCCCCAGCCTCCTCATGGCCCCCCAGCGCCGGCTACCCCCAACTCGCTCATTCAGTGACTCAGCAAAGGGAAAGCCCTGTGTTGGGGGAAGGGGGTGTTAAGTGGGGAGGAGGATGTGGTTCAGCTTGGGGAGCCAGGGAGGGGAGGGAAACTGGTTTTGTTCCCCTTTTTGCCTCTGTTCGCATCTATTTCTCCAGCCACAGATTGCAGGGTGGACAAGACCCCAGTGTAGGGAGTGGAGTGAGACTGGATGGCAAACTGGGCCTTCTTAGGGCTGAACTGAGGGGGCATGCAGAGGCTTCTTGCCTCCAGCTCAGAGCCCGTGTTAGCGTGTGCGTGTGTGTTGCAGGTGTGTGGGAGCTGTGGGTTTCAGCAGGCGGGGCGGGAAAGGAGATGTCATGGGTGATGAAAACCACAGCAATGGAAAAAGACAGAGGAGACACTGGGAGTGAGATGTGGAACCAGGTCTTATTAGGAAACGGCAGAGTCAAGGAGCAGTGGTGGCGGCCCGCACCCCCCACCCCCACTTGTTACAACTTTCGCTCCCACCCATATCCTCTGCTGAGCAGCACCTGGCTCTTCCTTGTGGTCCCCATCCTTTCCCTTACCCTTCCTTCTGCCTCATCCTGAGGCTGCAGCCCCGAAGTTTCTTGCTTCTTCCCTAGGGTCACTTGAGGGCCTCTGCATGGCGATTCAGGGCCTGAGAAAGGGCTGTCACTGCTCCCATCACACGGCCCAGCTCCCAGGTCTCAATCTGGCTTCGGAATCGCTGCAGGAAGCGGTCAGGGTGCCAGCGGACCTGCTGGACCCTCAAGTACCTCCTCAGAGCCCCCTGTTCCTCCAAAGGGGGGCCCCTGGCCACCAGGGCTGCAGCCATGGCCTCTGGGTCCCCTCCCCCAGGGCAGGGCCAGGGCACATCACCAAATCGCCAGAGGCTGCCCCTCCCCGCTCCTCTGGGGTGCTCTTCCCTGGGCCCGGCCCTGGTTGGCTTGGGTTCTCGGTCCCCTAGAGCCTCCTGCGCCCTCCTGGCTCGGCTCTCACGCAGCTCTTCCTCCTTGGCCCGGGCTCGCTCCCTGAAGAGCCGCTGCTCCTCCTCCTGCTGTCGCCAGCTCTGGCTGGAGCCCTCAGCACGTGGGGGTCGACAGGATCCCTCTGCTTCTCGCTGCTGCTGCTGGCACTTCTGGGCATGTTCCCGGGCCAGGCGATCTGACCAGGCTGAGAAGGACTCAGGTTCCTGGGTTTCATGGGAGGCATCACCTGTTTGGGAGGGTGGGATGGGGGTAGTTGGAGAGAGGCTGTGAGAAGGTGATGGGCCCAAGAAGCAGGGAAGCACAGAGGAGGGGGCAGAGGAGCCTAGTGTGACGCATTCATGCAGATGGAAAGCAGCCAGTGGGGAAGGGCAGCTGTGGATAGCAGTGGACTTCTCACCTTCAAACCTCCCCATGACTTCCTGCCACTCGTCCTCCAGCTCACCCTGGAGCTTCTGTCTCCATTCCCGCTCCTTGGAGGCATCATCTTCTTCCTCCTCTTCAGCAGAATCCCAGGGGGGTCCCCAGCCCAAAATTTGGCCAGGGGTCTCCCCATCCTTATTCTTTATTCCCATGGCAGAGGGACAGCGGCTTAGCAGCGGGAGGAAGAAATCGGTGTAGGCTGTTGGTGGGAGAGCAGGGAGCAGAAGTTAGCTGGGACTCCCACTCCTCGGCAGAGCTGCCATCTTGAATCCTGCTGGTCACTCGCTCCCTTGGTCTTAAAGCAATGGAAGGGTGGCTCACATGGATGCCTCCTGGGTATTAGGAAATAACCATCACTGATAAATACAGACTGATAGTTTACCACATGCATGGTAAGTGTGGTAGTTTAAAATATTCTCGGCCAGGCGCGGTGGCTCACGCCTGTAATCCCAGCACTTTGGGAGTCCGAGGCGGGCGGATCACGAGGTCAGGAGATCAAGACCATCCTGGCTAACATGGTGAAATCCCATCTCTACTAAAAAATACAAAAAATTAGCCAGGCCTGGTGGCGGGCGCCTGCAGTCCCAGCTACTCGGCAGGCTGAGGCAGGAGAATGATGTGAACCCGGGAGGTGGAGCTTGTAGTAAGCCGAGATCGTGCCACTGCACTCCAGCCTAGGTGACAGAGCAAGACTCCGTCTCAAAAAAAAAAAAAAAAAATTCTTACTTGTGTCTCCACAAACTATTTCAGCATCCTAGAAGTTCTACCATGCCAACTGACATTTTCTGACCTGCCTCCAGCCACCAAGGCAGTGCCCAAATTCTTTGACTATGTATTCCACTTTTCACTTAAAAATATTGTCACTATATAAATCCCTTATTTTCTCACCTGAAACCATATATCAGACTGGGAAAATATCTGAATGCTCTACTCTGGGCCATTAATAAATACACAAATATGTAATACTTATCTTTTATTATCACTTATCAATAAACTGAGTAAAATAAATGTTTTCAGGGGAATTTCTCTCAGCCAGCCTTACCAGGGGATGATGGGAGAGGGGTGGGGAGGTGAACCGGCAACAACTATGGCCGGCGGCAGAGCAAGCTCTTTCCAAATGACTGCTGACCTAGGGCAGGGGAAAGGGAGTGGAGTGTGACAGAGGGTCTCACCCATGGGCTGAGAGAAAACAGGAGAGGAACCGACGTTCCTGAACTCCCCTTTTCTTCAGTCCCAACCTTGCTGCATCTGGCCCAAGGTTAGCTGAGTGCCATGCTACTTCCTTCACTGCCAACCCAGGCATCCTGGCCAGGCCCACCTGCTGTGGCCACCAACCACCTCTTTCACTTGGGGGATAGAAGAAGGGGAGGGAGGCAGCCTTCCTTCCTGTGGACCTACTTTCTTTCCCCGGGGTAAGAGGAAATGGGCTAGCAGTCCTTAAATCTTTATTTGGTAGTGCTGGAAAGTACTGTTTACCTGGCAGAAAGCTGGAATAGGGGAAGGCAAGGCCAGGAAGGCAAGAAGACAGAATGGCCCAGGTGTGGCTGGCGAAGGCCCACCATCCCTACCCAAATCACATCAGGGTTGGTGGGGGGGGCACTTCTCCCTAGTGCTGCTGTGACCTGTCACAGACCCTCTCAACTTGTCCCACCCAGAAAGTACCTGGTCCTGTCTCTCATTCGCTTGTTCCCCACCTGAGCTCAGGTGGTGAGCATGGTGAGTGCTCAGGCTTGCATGGGAGGTTTACATTCATAGGTTTTAAGGAGTAGGGCCTCCAACTATAAAAACATAATATTAAACAGCCACTACAACTGAGGCATGTGTTTGAAAAAAGCTGGCTACAAAACTGTAGAGAGGATCAGATGTGGCCAGGCACGGTGGCTCACGCCTGTAATCCCAGCACTTTGGGAGGCTGGGGGGGGGGACAATGGATCACAAGGTCAGGAGTTCAATACCAGCCTGGCCAAGATGGTGAAAACCCGTCTTTACTAAAACAAACAAACAAAATATATATATAATTATATTTTATATTATATATAAAATTAGCCAGGCGTGGTGGCTGACGCCTGTAATCCCAGCTACTTGGGAGGTTGAGGCAGAGAACTGCTTGAACCTGGGAGGCGGAGGTTGCAGTGAGCCGAGATCGCGCCTCTGCATTCCAGCCTGGGTGACAGGGTGAGACTCTATCTCAAAAAAAAAAAAAAAAAAAAAAAAGAGAGAGAGAGAGAGGATCAGATAATAACTGTCTAAAACAAGAGACCAAATCCTATGGTTGGAAAAAAAGAGGCCGGGCGTGGTGGCTCATGGCCTGTAATCCCAGCACTTTGGGAGGCTGAGGCGGGTGGATCACCTGAGGTCAGGAGTTCGAGACCAGCCTGGCCAACGTGGTGAAACCCTGTCTCTACTAAAAATACAAAAATTAGCCAGGCGTGGTAGCATGTGCCTGTAATCCCAGCTACTTGGGAGGCTGAGTCAGGAGAATCACTTGAACCTGGAAGGCAGAGGTTGCAGTGAGCTGAGATCATGCCAGTGCACTCCAGCCTGGGCAACAGAGGGAGACTCCCATCTCAAAAAAAAAAAAAAAAAAAAGAAAAAAAATAGACTGGCAAAAAATATGTAAAAATTCTAGCCTATGGGTGGTGGGGCTGTAGGTGGCTTTTCCCCCAATTTTATTTGACATTTTAATGTGAAAGGGATATAATTAAGTTGAAATTTTCTTTTTAAAGAAGGACGAACAAATTTGATAACTATTAACAGTGTACTGTGATCCCTTCCAGTCCCACCTTGGTGTACCTAAAAGCATACATATGACACATTTATTTGGAGATATGTAACCATACTACAAATATTGCTTGGCAACTTGCTTCTTTCATTTAACATCTCATTTATATTTTTCCACAGGAATATATACAGTCTACCTCATACTTTTTGACGACTTTATAATTAGTGTTCCACTGTGTGTACAAAACAAATCTCCTTACCCCAATATCGATAGACTTTGTTTCAAAAAATGTTCAGCCTCATGAGTATCTTACAGTCTTTCTGTGGGGGTAGATTTTCATAAGTGGAATTTCTGAGTCAAAGGACATGCGCAATTTGGTCAAACTGCTCTCAATAAGTTTGTGCCAATATACAAGTGTGCCTATGTCTTCCTTTACCAAAATTGAATATCATCAACCCTTTTAATTTTGCCAGTTGGATAGATTAAAAAATTATTTTATTAACAATGTTTTTTTCTTTTTCATGTCTTTTGGCTATTTGTATTTTTTGTGAATGAATTGCTCATATTCTTTATCCACTTTTTCTTTGGAAATTATATATATTGATATGAGGGTTCTATATACTGTATGTGTTATACATATTGCAAACATTTTCTTCTATCTATCTTTAAAAAAGCTTTTTTTTTTCTTTTTGAGACAAGGTCTCACCCTGTTGCCCAGGCTGCAGTGCGGTGGCATGATCTTGCTCACTGCAAACTCTGCCCCACCTGGGCTCAAGCGATCCTCCCACCTCAGCCTCCTGAGTAACTGGGACTACAGGACGACAGCCACATACCACCACGCCTGGCTAATTTTGTATTTTTTGTACAGACCAGGTCTCACTGTGTTGTTCAGGCTGGTCTTGAACTCCTGGCTCAAGTGATCTGCCTACCTTGGCATCCCAAAGTGTGGGATTACAGGTGTGAGCTACCGCACCCAGCCTAAAATTTTCATGTAGTTAAATCTATATCAATATATTATTTTCTGACTTTTTATTTCACTTCACTCTTAGGAAGGCTCTATTTTAAGATTATAAAACATTCTCTGCATTTTCTTCTACTACTTTAGATGTATACTCATTTTTATTTTTAGAAATTAAAAAACTCGGCCAGGCGCGGTGGCTCATGCCTGTAATCCCAGCACTCTGGGAGCCCAAGGTGGGTGGATCATGAGGTCAGGAGTTCAAGACCAGTCTGGCCAAGATGGTGAAACCCCGTCTCCACTAAAAATACAAAAATTAGCCTGACGTGGTGGCGGATGCCTGTAATCCCAGCTACTTGGGAGGCTGAGGCAGAGAACTGCTTGAACCCGGGAGGCAGAGGTTGCAGTGAGCCAAGATTGCGCGACTGGACTCCAGCCTGGGTGACAGAGTGAGACTCTGTCTCAACAACAACAAAAAAGAAATTAAAAAACTCTCAAAAATACAAAGTATAATACAATACACAACCCCATTCCTACCACAGGGTTTGTTAATGTACTGTCATGTTTGTAGTATAATTTATTTTAAGGAAATAAAATCATCACAGATAAAGGTAGTTTACGGTGATACCGCCTTCCAAGTTTCATTCCTCCCCAGGCCATCTGTCCCATGAATTTGGTGTGTACCTTCCTGTCATATTCAGGTATTTAATCTGCTGGAATTTACTTTTTGATTAGGTGTGAGGTGGGACTCTTGTTTTTCCCTAGATGAGCCAAATGTTCCAATATTATTTATAAAATAGTTCACCTGGTCAGGCACAGTGGCTCATGCCTGTAATCCCAGCACTTTGGGAAGCTGAGGTGGGTGGATCACCTCAGGTCAGGACAGGAGTTTAAGACCAGCCTGGCCAACACGGTGAAACCCCCATCTCTACAAAAATACAAAAATTAGCTGGGCATGATGGCAGGTGCCCAGCTACTCAGGAGGCTGAGGCAGGAGAATTGCTTGAACCCGGGAGGCGGAGGTTGTAGCAAGCTGAGATTGCGCCATTGCACTCCAGCCTGGGTGACACAGCGAGACTCTGTCTCGGAAAAAAAAAAAAAAAAAGTTCACCTTTCTCCAGTATTAGAAATGCCCCCTTTAGGCCTGGCGCGGTGGCTCACGCCTCTAATCCCAGCATTTTGGGAGGCCGAGGCGGGCGGATCATGAGGTCAGGAGTTCGAGACCAGCCTGGCCAACACAGTGAAACCCTGTCTCTACTAAAATTACAAAAAATTAGCTGGGCGTGGTGGCGGGCGCCTGTAATCCCAGCTACTTGGGAGGCTGAGGCAGGAGAATGGCTTGAACCTGGGAAGCGGAGCTTGCAGTGAGCCGAGATCACACTACTGCACTCCAGCTTGGGCGACAGAATGAGACTCCATCCCCCACTTCGCCAAAAAAAAAAAAAAAAAAAAAAAAAAGAAATGCCGCCTTTATAGCGATTTACCAGATCAACCGTTCTCAATGCTCTTTAATACGCTGGAGTTTCATACTAAGAAAAATAAACATAAAAACATTTTGGCCAGGCGCTGTGGCTCACGCCTGTAATCCCAACACTTTGGGAGGCTGAGGTGAGCAGATCACAAGGTCAAGAGATCGAGACCATCCTGGCTAACATGGTGAAACCCCGTGTCTACTAAAAATACAAAAAATTAGCCAGGCGTGGTGGCATACGCCTACAGTCCCTACGCCTATAGTCCCAGCTACTTGGGAGGCTGAGGCAGGAGAATCTCTTGAACCTGGGAGGTGGAGGTTGCAGTGAGCCGAGATTGTGCCACTGCACTCCAGCCTGGGCGACAGAATGAGACTCCTTTTCAAACAAAACAAAACAAAACAGAAAACAAAAACAAAACCAAAAGACATTCTGTGGGATGGGCACGGTGGCTCATGCCTATAATCCCAACATTTTGGGAGGCTGAGGTGGGTGGATCACTTGAGGTCAGGAGTTTGAGACCAGCCTGGCCAACATGTTGAAACCCCATCTCTACTAAAAACACAAAAATTAGGTCGGGCATGGTGGCTCATGCCTGTAATCCCAGCACTTTGGGAGGCCGAGGCAGGTGGATCATCTAAGGTCAGGAGTTCGAGAGCAGTCTGGCCAACGTGGTGAAACCCCATCTCTATTAAAAATACAAAAGTTAGTCGGGCATGGTGGCAGGCTCCTGTAGTCCCGGCTACTCAGGAGGCTGAGGAAGGAGAATCACTTGAACCCAGGAGGCGGAGGTTGCAGTGAGTCAAGATACTGCCACTGCACTCCAGCCTGGGGAACAGAGGGAGACTCCGTCTCAAAAATAAATAAACAAATAAAAATTTAAAAATTAATAAATAAAAATAAAAAAATTAGCTGGGCATGGTGGTGTGTGCCTGTAATCTCAGCTACTTGGGAGGCTGAAGCAGGAGAATCGCTTGAACCCAGGAAGCAGAAGTTATAGTGAGCCGAGATCATGCCACTGCACTCCAGCCTGGGCGACAAAGCAAGACTCTGTCTCAAAAGGAAAAGAAAAAGGAAGCTGGAAGCTGAATGAGATGGGCCTTTCAACCAAGGAGTTAGAAGGCCATCTGGTGGCAGGGCTGGCAGAGGACCAGGAGTAAATAAGGCCAGAGAGGACACCAGGGTCTGGGAGTGAAGGCACTGAGCTTGGGTCCCCCTTTGGAAGACAATGACCTGAGAGCTGTGAGATTTCAGACAAGTTCCCGAACCTTTTGGGCCCTGCTTTCCTCATCTGTAAATGGGATAATATCAGTCTCACCAGCTTCTTAAAATTCAATACAATGGAGTTGGGTGTGGTGGCTCACGCCTCTAGTCCCGGCACTTTGGGAAGCCGAGGTGGGCAGACTGTTTGAACTCAGGAGATGCAGAACAGCCTGGATAACATAGCAAAACAGTCTCTACCAAAAATACAAACAATTAGCTGGGCATGGTGGTGTGTGCTTGTAGTCCCAGCTACTAGGGAGGCTGAGGTGGGAGGACTGCTTGAGCCCACGAGGTAGAGGCTGCAGTGAGCCATGATTGCACCACTGCACTCCAGGCTGGGAGACAGAATGAGACCCTGTCTCAAAACAAACAAGCAAACAAACAATAAAGGAAATCCCTACCACACTATCAGGGGCATTTTGGCTGAGCGCGGTGGCTCACGCCTGTAATCCCAGCACTTTGGGAGGCTAGGCTGGCAGGTCACCTGAGGTCGGGAGTTTGAGACCAGCCTGACCAACACGGAGAAACCGTCTCTACCAAAAATACAAAATTAGCCGGGCGTGATGGTGCATGCCTGTAATCCCAGCTACTTGGGAGGCTGAGGCAGGAGAATCTCTTGAACCCAGGAGGCAGAGGTTGAGGTGGGCTGAAATCGCGCCATTGCACTCTAGCCTGGGCAACAACAGGGAAACTCCATCTCAAAAAAACAAAACAAAACAAAAAACAAAACTCCCATTTTTGCGAGGCAAATTGGGCTCACAGAGGTAAGCTGCATGTCCCTGTTGATGGCAGAGCTGGGGTCTGGATGCAGGTCTGCTTCGGGGTAATCTGCTCTTTTGCCTTCCAGGGTCCTGCCTCTTACAATATGAGCTGTCAAGTTAGATGCCTGCACTCAGTAAACCTACTCTGTTTTAAGTAAAAACAACAAGAAACAAATCTGAATATGCTAGCCTATCTCAGGTACGTTAAAGGAAATTTTTAAATAGGGGGTTTTTTGACCATTTGGGGGAGTTTCGGGGGAGGGGCCTTCTGTCTATACTTGAGCTGGGGGATGTTAGGGTTGTTCATCTGGATCTAGAGGTTTTCCTGTAATGTTCTTACTCCAGAAGGAAATCTCTAGATGGGGAAAGAAGGTTTCAGCTTTTATTCTAGTAAGCAGGGCTCTACCTATAAAGAGCTGCTTCCACCACTCTTTTTTTTTTTTTTGAGACGGAGTCTTGCTGTGTTGCCCAGGTTGGAATGCAGTAGTGCAATCTCGGCTCACCACAACCTCTGTCTTCGGGGTTCAAGTGATTCTCCTGCCTCAGCCTCCCAAGTAGCTGAGACTACAGGTGTGTGCCACCATGCCTGGCTAATTTTTGTATTTTTAGTACAGATGGGGGTTTCACTATGTTGGTCAGGCTGGTCTCGAACTCCTGACCTCGTGATCTGACTGCCTTGGCCTCCCAAAGTGCTGGGATTACAGGCATGACCCACCGCACCTGGCCTCCACCACTATTATAATATCACCAGGTTCCCCATTTGAATCCTTCAGTGCCAAAGGTTTTGCAGAATTCAAATGTTTTTGGGACTTGATAGGGCTGACCTAAAAGTACACTCACTCTATATTAGGTAGCCCAGGAGGGCCTAGGCAGCCCAAGAACCAAACACATGAGTGTTTCTGCAGGGAAATGTATGAATATTGACATCAGTAGGATGAAAATAAATAATAGTCTTACTTTAGTTCAGATTAGGTTTCTGTCACCAAATGAATTTTGGTGGCAGCCTGATGAAAAATGTTGGTTCTCAGAGTGTTTTTGAGTTTAGAATTGTGGTTAAGGGAGTATGGACCTGTTGATAACAAAAACAGGAACAAGGCCAGGTGTGGTGGCTCACACCTGTAATCCCAGCACTTTGAGAGGCTGAGGTTGGTGGATCACCTGAGGTCAGGCATTCGAGATCAGCTTGTCCAACATGGCGAAAACCCATCTCTTCTAAAAATATAAAAATTAGCTGGGCGTGGTGGCATGCGCCTGTAATCCTAGCTACTTGGGAGGCTGACGCATGAGAATCACTTGAACCTGGGAGGTAGAGGTTGCAGTGAGCCAGGATCGCACCATTGCATTCCAGCCTGGGCAAGAAGAGTGAAACTTCATAAAAAACAAAAACAAAAACAAAAAACAGAGAAACAGGAACAACAATCGCCAGCATATACCAAGTGCTTATCGTGTGTGCCAGGTACTCTAATTATGTACTATGTCAGTTGATTCTCAAAACATATATGGCACAACATGGGTACTCTGAACATGGGCACAATCAATGTACAATGCTATAATGTATAACACAGGACAATGTAGCTGTTAAAAGCATGGACACTCTATCTAGTCCATCTGGGTTATAATCTCTGCTCTACCAGTGAATAACTGTAACTCTGGCAAATGACTTCTCTATGCCCTGTTTCCTCAGCTGGGAAATGGGGGATAATATCAGTACTCACCTCCTAAGATTGTTGTGAGGATTAAATGTGTTACTTTATAAGAAATGTCTGGCACATAGCAAAGGTTGTTATTATTTTAATTTTTACACATGGGCAAACTAAGCCTCAAGTAACCTGTCCAAGAATACGTAGCTATGAAGTGTGGAGCTGGGATTTGGAGCTGGGGTTTGAATCCAGGCAATCTAACTCCAGAGCCTACCTTCTATGCTACTTTTTGGCTACGAGCAAACAATCTGTCAAGAAACAAAGTAGCTACTAATCTAAACAGATGTGAAATTTGAAGACCAGTTGATCTTTGGGGAATGTTGGGTTCTTCAGACAATGGTAGCTCAGTAATGTAAAGGGACAAATGACAGCCACATGCCAACTTGGTTAACTCCTTCCCTAGGTCCTGATGACCAAATAACCAGCTTATTTCTCAACTATTGGTTGGCTTTCATTTCAGGTCTGGTCAGCTGCTTATGACCTTGTTCCCCACTGAGCAGACTCACCATCTGGGCCCTGGCGGGCAGCAGCATGCAGTGCCGTGTCCCCATGGCGGTCCTGGTGGGCAGGGTCAGCCCCGAGCCGAAGCAGCAGGCACAGGGCAGGGGCATCGTGGCGGGCACAGGCCCGGTGCAGTGGTGGGGGCTGCCCAGCATCTACATCGAGGCCTGGGTGTCGCTGGAGGAGGGCCTGGGCCCGGACCAGCCGTCCTGCAGACAAGTAACGACGAAAGCGACGTTCTCGGCGTTGGCGGCGGGAAGTGGAGGCCATGGAACTCTTGGGCTGGGGAAGGAAAAAAGGCAGCAGTCAGGACTTCAGCCTTGGCTGGTCCTTCTCCCTCCATCTCTGACATCCCCTGTTGTTTCTCCCTTTGGTTCCGTCTTTTTTTAATATCTTCAGCAAGAGATGAGGCCTAACCTAACCCTGATCCTTTATCAGATGATAGATTTGAAAAAAAATTTTTTTTGAGGGGGGTGATAGGATCAGAGGTTTAATTTTTTTAATGTAAAATTCGAGAAAAGGGTAAATAATTGGTTTAAGGCTCAGGAGCCCAGGTAAATTTTTAATTTTTAACAAAGAACTTTAAAAAAACCCAACAGGGCCGGATGGGGAAAATTTTTATCAGCAGAAATCTGAGTTTTAAAAAGTCACAGATAATCTCCAATAATGATCTAGAAATTGAATATCATGTACCCGGCAGACAGATGTGGAGGCTTCTTCCTCTGGAACCTGGGGGGAGGGGTTACTCATCAGACCTGCCCCCGCCCCCCCAAGTACCCCCAGAGCCGTAGGCCCAAGGCCTGTGTTTAAGAAGCTCGGAGACGGGAGGCGGGAAGGGCGGAGACACTCCAGGCTGGAGGAAATGGCGCAAGCAGAGACGCAGGTGGAGGACGGAAGTGAACTGTGAGGGGCGTTACCGGATGTCGTTCCGCCCCGACCGGGTAGTTCTTGGCCAGATCTCCCAGGGGAAACTAGGGAACTTAAATTAAAGGGGCCGTCTGAAACCAGAAGACTGGACTGGAGGCGAGGAAAAGGAGGCGAGGGGAGGGGAGGGAGAAAAGAGAGTTATTTGGAGGTTTTTTCCCGCCTCCTCTAACTTGGCAGAGAGAGGAGATGGTTCAGTGATGGACGAAAAGATGAGAAGACAGAGAAAATAGAGGAGATAAAGACAGGATAAAAATCACATTAAACATGGAAAACAAAAACAAAAACCACAGTGGGACAACAACAGGGACAGATCAAAAAAAAGAAAAAATACAGACAAAAGACGGAAGAAGACTATCGTAGGATGGGGCAAGTGAGATGCAAAAATTTGGACTTGAGAAATATGTAGAAAAAGATGGAGATGTTAACAACGGGAGGCAGGGGAGGGGGCGGGATGGTGGAGAGAGAGAGAAAGGTAGAGAGTTAGTTTAGAATTAAGCCCAGAATGCTCTTTTCCCAACACAGGTTGCATGATGACATCCTTACCTTTTCACCGCATTCACAACCCTTTATGCTTCCTCTGTTACCACCAATCAAGTTCTCCTTCTCTCACCTCAGTACTCCCCCGTCTCCGCCCCTGCCTCATCCCTAGACCTTTCCGACTGGGATGGCTAACCTGTTGTAAGCCCGCAGCTTTGGGCCTGGTCTCTGCTGCTCCCAGGCGGCCCCTTTGGGTACTGCCTGAGCAAGAAGTGCTGGAGAGGAGGACCAGTCATCAATAGGAGGATGAGATTGGGAGAGACACTCGGTGCAGGAGGCTGAGTGAGCAGGGGAGCACTAAGACCCAGGGGTAGTGGAGGACTGCAGCAACGAGCTGGAGGAGGAGAAGTAAGCGGTGGGGGGTGGGAGCCATCTGGTACTTTGACAGCATTCAAAACAGCATCGGCCATAACAACAGAAATGGCCAGTCAGTCCCAAGGTATCCAGCAGCTTCTGCAAGCTGAGAAGCGGGCAGCTGAGAAGGTGGCAGATGCCAGAAAGAGTGAGTCTCCTCTTTCCTCCCTTAGGAGTTTGGAAAGAAAATTGGGGGTGGGGGACAGCAAACATTTTGGGAAAACCCAAGGCTGGCGGGAAGACAGCTAGGGTCTGGAGGCTGGTTAGGAGGGAAGAAATGGATGGATATTAGAATCTGGCACCTGGTTGGCTGAGAGAAGGCTGTATAACTTTCTGGAAGGGACTGACTCCTGCTATTACATTGTGTGTGTGTGGGTCCATCCCCACTCACTGTCCTTTCTTCTGCCTCCAGGGAAGGCCCGGCGACTGAAGCAGGCAAAGGAGGAGGCACAGATGGAGGTGGAGCAATACCGCAGAGAGCGAGAGCACGAATTCCAGAGCAAGCAGCAGGCGGTGAGTTGAGGCAGAGTCGGGATGAGACCCCACTGCAAGTTGGTGGGTGCATCTAGTGAGGTGTGTAAGGGTGACTCAACAAGAAAATATGGTGGCAGAGGGCTGAGGCTGAGGGGACCCTGGCAGGGACCACAACATTGGTGAAACTTTGTGATGATATGTAGGAGAGTCTGGGAGTTTTGAAGGCCACATAGAGCTTGTGGGCGGAATGCCACAGTCTGTGTAAAGTATAACATCTATGTGGAGTATGATTAACATTTGTGGTGGAGGGTAGAGTTTTATGGTCATGGATGGTGAGGTGGTGGGGATATTACGGTCTGTTTTAGTATGAAGTTGCATGTTAGGTCTAAGGGGAAAGGGGACTGTGTTGATCTCTTTGGTGTTGGGATATTTCTGTGGGATGGGGGTGGTTTCTGAGAGGGCCTTTCTTCTAGGCTTTGTTTCAGGATCTTTCCCCTCATATGCCTGGACCCTTGTCTGTTTCTGCTTTTCCCTTTCTCTCTTCCACCCCTCTCCCTACCCCCCAGGCCATGGGCTCCCAGGGGAACCTGTCTGCTGAGGTGGAGCAGGCTACAAGGCGCCAGGTGCAGGGCATGCAGAGCTCCCAGCAGAGAAACCGAGAGCGTGTCCTGGCCCAGCTTCTTGGCATGGTCTGCGACGTCAGGCCCCAGGTCCACCCCAACTACCGGATTTCTGCCTAGGGCCACCGTAGGGCCTGACTCCTTCTGCCAGTTCCCTCCCTCAAAGAAATCCTCCAATCAAAATCACCTCCCACCATAATCCCTGTCTTCTTTCCATCCCCTAGAAATCCTGGGAGGCAGGATCCAATAATTTTCCTGTGACACTTATAAATATCCTGCTCACATCTGAATCTCCTTGTTGTTCTTTAACCCTCACTGGGACTTTGTAAACTTCCAAGTCATTCTCACCTAAACCCTCTGTGAAATTTGTAATATGGGGAAGTAGGAATGTGGAAAACATCCTGACTTCAGTGTCTGGCCGATGTGGGTCCCTCTCTTGACCCTGTCACTTGCTGGCTGTGAAACCAGGACAAGCTACTTAACTTGGTAGCCTCGATGTCCTCCTCTGTGAAACTGGGATGATAATAATGCCTACCTTGTGAGGGTTGCTTCAATGATTAGGAATCATTCTGTAAAGTCTAGCACAGTTCCTTGCATGTTGTAGCAGTGATTCAGTAAGTAGCAACCCTGTGATACTATTACCACCACCTGCTCACTGGTCAAAACCTACACAGCTGTTTCCTCACGTCCATCACTGGCTCTCTAATTCCACTTGTTCATTCTGTGACCCTAGTTATTTTCTGAAAAATTGGTTCTTCTCTTTTCCCAGAGACCTTCTGATCTCCAAAAAGAGGAGATGACTACATTTAGCCCCTCTCTTATAATTCCAGGTAGATAACTGCATTTTGTAGCCTCTCTTTGTTTTTCTTTTGCTGATCTTTGTCTTTATTAGATTTTCCTCCTTTCCTATTTCCCCAAAGACTTATCAGATGCTCATTGCTTTCTAAGATCTAAAATGATACTGTGTTCCCTCATATGCATGCCCTTCCTTTCTATATCCTTGACACCTTACTTTCCCATTGTAACAATAAAAAAAGTATCAATAAAATAATTATTGGCAAATAAATTGGTGAGTTGAAGCAGCCTCCTTTTGCCTCATCATTTCTCATTTTCAGTCACTTTGTTTTTTTTTTTTTTGAGATGGAGTTTTGCTCTTGTTGCCCAGGCTGGAATACAATGGCGTGATCTCAGCTCATTGCAACCTCTGCCTCCCAGGTTCAAGCGATTCTCCTGCCTCAGCCTCCCAAGTTGCTGGAATTATGGGTGTGTGCCACCACGCCTGGCTATTTTTTGTATTTTTAGTAGAGATGGGGTTTCGCCATGTTGGTCAGGCTGGTCTCAAACTCCTGACCTCAAGTGATCCACCTGCCTTGGCCTCCCAAAGTGCTGAGATTAGAGGTGTGAGCCACTGTGCCTGGCCTTCAGTCACTTTCTTGTTTTTTGTTTATATATTCCCTAAACAGCCCAAATGGCTATCCTTTGAAACTTCTTGGAGAAACAAGAACAAGTAGTACTTTATTATTTCTCTAAAGTGAGAAACATGGTTCCTCATTTGGGAATCTGAGGACTATAGATCGCAACTGTAGAGAAAAGCTGGAGTGTAGGAGCAAGTGCTCTTTGCCCCTTTACCTTGCATTTTCTTCATAGCACTTACTGCTACTGGTTTTTTGAGACAAGGTCCTGCTGTGTTGCCCAGGCTGGAGTTCCAGCTCACGGCAGCCTTGACCCCCTGGACTCAAATGATCCTCCCACTTCAGCCTCCTGAGTAGCTGGGATTACGGGCGAGTGCCACTATGCCTTGCTAATTTTAAAATTTTTTGTAGAGATGGGGTCTCACTTGCCCAGGCTGGTCTGAAACTCCTGGGCTCAAGCAATCCTTCGGGCTCGGCTTCCTCAAGGGTTGGGTTACAGGCCTGAGCCACTGCACCCTGACCACTTATCGATACTTGACATTATATTTGTGTTTATGTGTTTTCTTTCCTGTAATGTAAACACTGTGAGAACAGGGCTGTTCACCGTTGTGTCCCCAGATCCTAGGACAACATGTGGCACAAGGGAGGCAGTTGATAAATACTTTTGAATAAATTAAATGATACTTGGGAAAATACCTTCTATGACACCATTCTTGAATTAGTTACTTCATTTGTCACTGAAGACAAGCTTACTTCACCAAGAATTTGAACCAATAAGGTAACCTGCAGTGTATTTACTAACCAGATTCTTTGAGCAGGGAGGCAGAATACAATAGAGAATGAGAGATGTTTGCATCCTGGCTGTAACCTCACCAGCCGTACTGCTTGAGATATGTTGCTTTGCTTCGCTTCTGTCAATAAGATGAGAATAACGGTACCTACTCCTTAGTATTAAATGATTAAGTATGTTAACAGGGAGAGGGCCAAACGTTTGTTGTTTTATTACACAGCAGGACATCAGGTCTTACTTTTGTGGCTCCCCATCTCAAAGACGGGGATAGCAAATGTTTCATTCAGGAAAAAAATCCAGGTTGAACAATGGGGCTGTTGGGGCGGGGCCAAGAACATTCTGCTCGAATTAACAGTATTAATGGGCCGGGCGCGGTGGCTCACGCCTGTAATCCCAGCACTCTGGGAGGCCGAAGTGGGTGGATCACCTGAGGTCATACATGGGTGAAGCCCCGTCTCTACTAAAAAAACAAAAATTTGCTGGGCGTGGTGGCGGGCGCCTGTAATCCTAGCTACTCGGGAGGCTGAGGCAGGAGAATCGCTTGAACCCGGGAAGCAGCGGTTGCAGTGAGCCGAGATCAGGACATTGCACTCCCGCCTGGGCGACAGGGCGAGACTCTGTCTCAAAACAAAAACAAAAACAGTATTAATGGAATGTAGTATAACCCTCAAGCCCTACTATTAACACTTGGGGCCGAATCCAGACCCCGTCTTCCCGCTCGGATTCAGAACACCTTCCTGACTCACTGGCCCTAGGGCATCAGCTACCTCGGACAGCATCCTTTTGGGAAAATACCGCCCACCAGCCCCACGACTGGGAAAGAGTCGGGAAACACCCCCGAGCAATCCAGTTCCCTGAGACTTCCCTCCTCCCTCCCCTCAGCTAGGGCCTGCCGGTTCCTAGTGCGTGCCCAGCAGTCCTCAGGTCACCTTCACTACCGGGCCAAGGACCCCGTGGGAACTCGCAGCCTTCGCCACACTCGTTCCTCGCGCATCCACGGAGGGGTGCCTACAGAGAAGACCTGCGTGGCAAAAACCTAAACGAAGAGATGAGGGGCATGGAGAGGAGTAGGATAAGAGAATAAAGATAACAGTGGGGGGGAGACGTTAGTTTCCTTTATATCTTTTGTTACTGGAGGTAGCAGTGAAGTTAGAAACGGTTTTAAAACAAATTTCAGACAGGCATTTTCCAAAGGCAAGCCTGGAGCGCACGGATCTGTATAACCGCGGAAGGCCCTGTTTCCGGTCCCTTGCGCCTGCGCTCTTGCAGCCAAGAAGGCGGGAGGCTGGAGTAGAGGGAAGCCTGCAACCGGAAGTGAAGGCAGATTTCCCTCCTTCGTCGCTGTTGCTGCCGCCATACGCGCTCTCCCTGTTTAGGTAAGCTTTGGCCTTCGCTACAATCCGTTTCCATCTGCGCTTCTCCGCACCCATCCCGTCACATGGGTTCCTGATACCCTTTTCACAGGCGATGGTCTGGTCGCTGGGGCCTAGTTGGTTCGCTATTTCCTTAGCTTGCATCCCTTTCGAGAGCAAAGAGCTCCTGGGGGAAGGAAGGGAAGCTAAGGGGGGACCCAATCCAAGATGGTGTCCTCGGCGCCATTGTGTTCGTTTTGCTCCCTTCTTCCAATGGGTTCTTCTCATATTGGAGGCCTCAGCATCAATGAGAGGCGGTGCTCGGCGTCCCTTGGTCTTGGTATTTGCGGAGGGCGGGGCTCTTCTCACCTTCCTTGTTCTTTCTTGAGCTCTTTTTCGGCCCTCGGTGGGACTGGGAGGAGGAGCTGGTTTCTGGGCCCAGTTGGATTTTTCTCACCTTGACTTGCCCAACTTAATTTGGAGTGCCTTCCAAGTGTTTACGATACGATTGGTGTCATTGTATGTTTCTCCAAAAGGAGTCTCACCTTCGTAGCGTAACAGTGATGTGAGACCACTTGGTAAAGATCCTGTTAAAGCCTGGGCGGGGATTGCCTTTCTCTGTCACCTATTAGCTTTCTTATTGTAGGGTGGAGACATGAATTTTGTTTTTTTGTGGCCGAGCCATTTGTCTTGCACCGCCCCTCCCCCCCATGCTAATTACACAAGGCTTGCTTAAACAGCGGAAGGGAGGATACTGAGAAGTGGGAGGCTGAGAGCTATGGGAGGTGGACGGCGGCCATATGATGTTTTCTTTTCGAAAGGTGAGCGCTTTGCGCAGTGATGACCCTCATCTATCACCCTTGACTGATGGCTGCTGAGTTAGGCATCCATAACGGTGGGATTATAATAGGGAAAGCGGAGTCTTCCTTTGAGGACTTTTCAGGACTCTACTTGTCATCTCCATTTTCCACTTTACTAAGTTATTAGTCATATTTTACCTTTTATTATCTATTCTATTTCCTCACTGTTACTTTCAGATCAAGAATTTATAAGTTGGTCTTCCCCTTCCAACTTTTCTGGTTTCCGCTACTGTGATTGCTAATCTTGTTGGGAACCTCTGTCCTAACCACTTTCCCTGGTACTGCTTTTTCTGTTCTGTTATATTTGCTTTTCGTTTTTATGTTTTGTATCTGTTTTTCTTTCCAGGTAAAAGTTTCCTGGTTTAGGGAAAGTGGGAACTGGGGATGGAAAAGAGGTGGTGAAGGCTGTGCTCGTGATTAAGTCTTGCTTTTTTTTTCCCCCCTCCAGCTCTTCTGTTAGAAATAGTATCTTTGTTTTCCTTTGCTGTTCCTCAATCCCCTACTCTTCACCCCTTGTTTTCACCTATTTTGCGAGAACCCATCCAGATCCCCCTTCCCTTCTTCCCCTGCCGGCCCAGTTATGGCAGAGAACGATGTGGACAATGAGCTCTTGGACTATGAAGATGATGAGGTGGAGACAGCAGCTGGGGGAGATGGGGCTGAGGCCCCTGCCAAGAAGGATGTCAAGGGCTCCTATGTCTCCATCCACAGCTCTGGCTTTCGTGACTTCCTGCTCAAGCCAGAGTTGCTCCGGGCCATTGTCGACTGTGGCTTTGAGCATCCGTCAGAAGGTAAATTTTCTCTTGGGCATGTAGTGCTCATTGGGCTCTTTAAGGGTACAATACAAAGATGTGTTTGTCGTTGCTCAGGTGGTGGTAAGGGTTTATACTTAAGGCTAGATCAGGGCCAGGTGCAGTGGCTCACGCCTGTAATCCCAGCACTTTGGGAGGCCGAGGCAGGAGGGTGGCCACTTGAGCTCAAAAGTGCAAGAGAAGCCTGGGCAACATAGCGAGACTCCTGTCTCTACAAAACGTTCAGAAATTAAGCAGGTGAAGGTTGAGGCTTCAGTGAGCCGTGATTGCACCACTGTGCACCAGCCGGGGCGACAGTGAGGAAGAAAAAATCGGGATAAGTATCAAAAACAATTTTGGATAGAGGAGGCTTATACAGGCTTATTCTTTCTTTCGTGATAGCACCAAAGTGCTAATGATCCAAAAGTGACTTCCAGGTCTGCCATTCATTCTTGTGACTGGCTTTTCTTGTCTGCTTATTTTTAATTTTGTCACTTGACTTCTAATTTTAAATTTCCAGAAAGGTCCTGCTTGGACCTGTAGTCTCCCTCTGTTGGGCCAGGCCAACTGTGGTCTCTGGAAACCTCTATGACTGGTTTAGAGATGACTGGCTTCTGGGTCAGGTACCAAGTCCTTCATTTTGTCCAGGGTTGTAGTAGTTACGTGACCCGAAGTATAGCAACCTAAGCAGGAGAAGTGGTCTGTGGCAGGTATTCAAATGTCATGAATTGTTACAGATTAAGAAAAATAAGGACAGAGCTAGGATCATTGAAGGTGAGCGGTTGGTAGATGCAAGGGGTTTGTTACTAGGACTGGGAAGGCCTAGATCTGGAGGAGGCTAAAGCTAGGAGGAATTAGGAGAGTCTGATTTTGAGGTGAATGTAATTGAGCAGAGAGAGGTAAAATGGGTCTGGAAGTTGGCAAGAACCAGGTAAATACTAGACTTTGAGAATTGAGTGGTAAGAAATGGGCTTGGCATGGTGAAAAAGGTAGAGTTATCTGGAGACTGAAGTCTAATTTATCTTCCTCCCCCCCCAACTTTTAGTCCAGCATGAGTGCATCCCTCAGGCCATTCTGGGAATGGATGTCCTGTGCCAGGCCAAGTCGGGCATGGGAAAGACAGCAGTGTTTGTCTTGGCCACACTGCAACAGCTGGAGCCAGTTACTGGGCAGGTATATTTGGGGAGAGTGCTGGGGAGGGGATTTTGGTTAGGACTATAAGGGAAGGGTGTTTTTGTCCTAACTACATGATGCTTGCAGAGCCATGAGCACATGACCTCTGTTACCCTTGACAATCTGACAGCTGTGGGGGATGTTCTGTCGCAAGCGTGGGGTTCATGATTTAGATCACAGAATTGAAGTCATTTATTATCGGCCCAGGTGTGTTTTTGTGACAGTCACTTCCCTAGAGGGGATAATGAAGAGCTACATTTACCATATGTCTCCGTATACTTCCTGCCTAAGGTGTCTGTGCTGGTGATGTGTCACACTCGGGAGTTGGCTTTTCAGATCAGCAAGGAATATGAGCGCTTCTCTAAATACATGCCCAATGTCAAGGTAAGCCAAGGTAAAGAGACCTGAGAGTGAGGGTGTGGCAAGTTGGAGGGATAAGAAACTTGTAGGCCAATAGTCTCTTTAATTTTGGAGAAGCTTTAGTTTGCTGTGGTGTAACAGAGTGTTGAGTTCCTATGTAACAGGAGGATTCGTAATTGGGCTATGGATGATGCTTAACACAAGACCACCCTTTTCTTACTACTTTATACTGACTTTGAATCATATCAGTTTAATAATTTTGGGGTATGTGGCAGAGAAAGCCGGAAACTTTAAAACAGCTCCAGTGGTGTGTGAATATTGAGGATTCTGGCCAAGTGCACAATGGCTTACACCTGTAATCTCAGCAGTTTGGGAGGCCAAGGCGTGTGGATTATTTGAGGTCAGGAGTTTAAGACCAATGTGGCCAACAGGATGAAACCCTCTCTCTACTAAAAATGCAAAAATTAGCCGTGCATGGTGGCACACACCTATAGTCCCACCTGCTTGGGAGGCTGAGGCAGGGGAATCGCTTGAACCCAGGAAGCAGAGGTTGTAGTGAGCTGAGATTGTGCCATTACACTCCAGCCTGGGTGGCAGAGTGAGACTCCCATCTCAAAAAAAAAGAAAAAATCTGATTGAAGTTAAGCATTTTTGGCAAGAATCCTTCATAGGTGATGCTGTATCTCCTGTTATGCCACAAATCTGGTCGACTTATGTTAGTTATTTTATTTTATTTTTATTTATTTGTTTTGAGATGGAGTCTCGCTGTGTCCTTCAGGCTGTGAGTGTAGTGGCGCGATCTCAGCTCACTGCAACCTGCGCCTCCCACGTTCAAGCGATTCTCCCGCCTCAACCCCCCGAGTAGCTGGGACTACAGTGTGCCATCATGCCTGGCTAATTTTTGTTTTTTTTTAGTAGTGACAGGGTTTCGCCATGTTGGCCAGGCTGGTCTCGAACTCCTGACCTCAAGTGATCCACCCACCTCGGCCTCCCAAAGTGCTGGGATTACAGGAGTGAGCCACTGCACCTGGCCTCATTAATGATTTTAGATTTACCATAGGATTAGCGTCGTGACAGTCTGATTCCACAGTTGTTCTTTTCCCCCTTGAAACCAGAAAGTAGTTTCTGGTGTTATTTGATACTGTACCAAGGCCCAGATCCCCAAACAACTATTCACCTAATGGTTTTAACATGAAATGATAATATTTAGCCCGAAGCAGTAATTTCATGGGGTTTGTGTGAAAAGAGTTTGAGATTCTGGGTTTATTTAGGAAACCTTAATGTTCCATGTGTTTTTTGTGGTACTTTACACTAATCTGGTGATTTCTTGCTGTCCTTTATTTATTTATTTTTTATTTTTTGAGATGGAGTCTCGCTCTGTCATCCAGGCTGGAGTACAGTGGCTCAATCTCGCCTCACTGCAATCTCCACCTCCCGGGTTCAAGCGATTCTCCTGCCTCAGCCTCCCGGCTAAATTTTGTATTTTTTGTTTTTTAGTAGTAAATTTGTAAATTTTGTATTTTAGTAGAGATGGGGTTTCACCGTGTTGGCCAGGCTGGTCTTGAACTCCTGGCTTCAAGTGATCCACTTTCCTTGACCTCCCAAACTGCTGGGATTACAGGCGTGAGCCACTGGGCCTGGCTTTATTTTATTTTTATTTATTTTATTTCTTTTTGAGATGGAGTATCACTCTTGTTGCCCAGGCTGGAGTACAACGGTGGGATCTTGGCTCACCACAACCTCTGCCTCCCAGGTTCTCGTGCCTCAGCCTCCTGAGTAGCTGGAATTATAGGCGTGTGCCACCACACCTGGCTCCTTTATTTTTTAAATGAAGCCTGGCCTCATAAATGAAGGAAGTTGGTTAGATTAAGTCAGTAGAACTGAATTATTGTCCTGACTGCTCCGACTAGCCATGTAACTTTAGGCAATCACCCTCAGTGTTTGGTGGGGGGGACATAAAATTTTTAAATTAGGTGACCTCTAAAGTTAGTTTTAGTTTGGAAACATGCTAAAAATTGGTTTAGCTCAAACAGAGTGGGAACCCTGGGGGGATTGGACTCTTTCCTTCCTCTGTTTTGAGACTCTTTGCTTCTGGCTCGGCAGGTTGCTGTTTTTTTTGGTGGTCTGTCTATCAAGAAGGATGAAGAGGTGCTGAAGAAGAACTGCCCGCATATCGTCGTGGGGACTCCAGGCCGTATCCTAGCCCTGGCTCGAAATAAGAGCCTCAACCTCAAACACATTAAACACTTTATTTTGGATGAATGTGATAAGATGCTTGAACAGCTCGGTGAGTGGCAGTGCTGGGGCTTGGCTAATGCTGGGGAGTTGTTCTTTGGAGCCAAATGATGTTTATTTGAAACAGGAGCACCTCAGTGCAAGGACGACTCTTATCTATCACCCATGACTGATGGCTCTGGGTTCCCTGGTTGGTCTTTATTATGCTTTTAAGCACAGTAAAGGGTGTCATCTATCATCTTTCTATGATTTTTGTTTTTAACCTTTGAGAATAGGGGACTTTGATAATTTTAGGCATAAGTCATCACCACCACCACCGTTTTCATTATAGATTCATATACTGGGAGTCATAGGGGAGATTCTAAACTGAAAGAGAAGACAGTACCCTTCTGGCATCTCCAGCACAGCATTTACAGTCAGAATTTATAGCTGAATAAGTGTCTAGACTCAGGTCTGGGATTAATGTAGAGAGTGTTTGTAGCAGTTTGTGTGATGTGGTATTCTAGTGTGCCAGGTGGGGTTAATGGAAGATTTTTCTGTAAGAATTGAATCTTGGTGAATGAGAGTGGGGTTGGACATAGGCCCCATAAGTCATTACAAATGATCTTTGGCAATTCTATATGGTGAGCTATAAAGGTGGGCTCCAGGTAGGGATGTCATATTTGCCTGACTTGATAGAAAAGTAATCCAGAGAGTCATAGATGGACTCTGATATCTGGAATATAATATGTGCTTGATATTTGTAGTCTGCTGAAGGCTGGCTGGGGCTTGGGCAGGAAAGGGTTGGGAGAAGGTCCCATAAAGCATGTTTTGAAGGCCTTGAGAGCCTCTGCACTGGGCTTTATCCCCATTTCATAGTTGGGAACTTTGGGGTTTTACCTTATTTCTTGCTTGGTTAAAACAAACAGCTGGAATCTGATCCCACTTCTTGATTCCAAGTCCATTGCTCTTTCCATTGTGTTGTTACTATTTCCAGCAATCTTCACCTCACTGGGAAGTCTACCTCTAATCTTTGTTTATCATACCTGCTTATTTTCTCCTACAATTTTTTTCCTTGTTCTTGTAGACATGCGTCGGGATGTCCAGGAAATTTTTCGCATGACCCCCCACGAGAAGCAGGTCATGATGTTCAGTGCTACCTTGAGCAAAGAGATCCGTCCAGTCTGCCGCAAGTTCATGCAAGATGTAAATACCCTTCTACCTTCTCTCCCTCCACTCCCCGCCCGCTGCCTCCTCCCCTTCCTCGCCCTCTTCCTCAGACTCCCTTGTCATTCAAGTGCCAAGAAGGCGGCTTGTGCCCAACTGGGAGTAATGACTCCTTGAAGAGACATACAGAAGCAGAGACAGCTAGTGTTAGGGCCTGCGCGGGTGCCAGGGAAACTCCGGAAGACTTGGTCGGGTTAATGTGAGAGCGGGTAGTGTTCGACTTTTTCATAAATCACAACATTTTTGAACCTCTTCTCCCTTCGGGGGAGGGCAGGATTTTTCTGCCCTACCACCCACCCATCCATCGTCTCTTACATGCACCCTACAGCCACGCACCCTCAAGGTGGCATCGAGCATACAGCTGGAGCCTTCTGCTCACCAAAACTCCTACTTCCCGGTGGCAGGAGAGCAAGAGAGGGACAGACAGATGGCAGGGCATGTCCAAAAGAAGAGCATCAGCACAAATGAATCCTCCCCTTCCCCACCTCCAGGGGTGGGGGCCTTTGGCACCTCAATCCCCGATACCCTACTCCTTCCCACCCACATCTCCTTGCACCCATCTGGAACCTCGGTTGATGTGAGCCGGCAACAGAGAAGCACCGTGGCGCGGCGAGGGAATGCAGACGGCACCCAGCGGTGGATGGCGGCAGCGGAGGCCGCGGGGAAACCTGACCAGGAAGCTGAGGACCAAACCAGCCTCTTTTTCCGTTCCCGGTTTTTTTCCTGAACCCAACGCGTGCCGTGCCCCGTTTCCCCCAATATGTGTTGGGGAGGGGTGTCCTGAATGGGGTGGTAGATTTTTTTTCTTAAAAAAATTTTTTTGTTTTTTTTAATACTCAGAGGAGAGGGACATAGGAAAGGTAAAGTGGATGTAATCGGGTGGTTGTTAGGGTTTGGGGCTAGGTGGGGCCAATTGCATAAGCAGTGGAGTGTGTTCTTCCCCTCCCTGCAGTGTTCCTTCCCGTGGGATGATCACTCTTTAGCTGTATTTGGGGCTAGAATGAGATTTGAAGGAGGCCATGGAACTTCTCTTTAGAAAGCCTGCCTTGGCTGGGCCTGGTGGCTCACCTCTAATCCCAGCACTTTGGGAGGCCAAGGTGGGAGGATTGCTTGAGCCCAGGAATTTGAGACTAGCTGGGGCAGTGTAGTGAGACTTTGTCTCTACCAGAAAAACCGGGCGTGGTGGCGCATGCCTGTAGTCCCAGCTACTTGGGAAGCTGAGGCAGGAGGGTTTGCTTGAGCCCGGGACGTGGAGGTGGCAGTAAGCTGTAATTGTGCCACTGTACTCCAGCCTGGGTGATAGAGTGAGACCCTGTATCAAAACAAAACAAAAAACAAAACCTGCCTTCTGGGATTGGGCTTCTGGTTTTTTTCCCATGACACACACATCCTTTCCTATTTTGTCCTCTGGGTCTTCATATTAACTATCTTCCCCCAGGATAGTATAAAAAGTGTTAGGAAAGTTGGGCTTTGGAGTTGTGGTAATTTCTGTCTTTGTTACTTTCCTCCCCTTCAGGGGGTTTTTTAATTTTAAAGATGAATGCAGTGAGGTATAATGGTGTGTGCCTGTAGTCCCAGCTATTCAGGAGACTGAAGCAGGAGGATCACTTGAGCCCAGGAATTTGAGGCTATAGTGTGCTATGATTGTGCCAGTGAATAGCCACTGCACTCCAGCCTGGGCAACATGGTGAGATCCTGTCCCTTAAAAGCGTATCTGCTGCTCTGAATTTGGTATTTTAACACCACTTACTGATACCTTTCCTGTAAACCTGTAGATGGTTTAATTCTTAGTCAAGAGACCAGTCTCATCTAAAACTATCCTGTTGTGGTCTGACGGCAAGTAACTCATCTTGAGTAATTTTTGTTTCTCCTTAAGTGGCATTTTGACTGTCCATTGCAGCATTCTGATCTTAAAAGACATCCACTTTGCTAATGCACACGAGATTCTCTTAGTTGAAGTAGGAGAATCAAATGGAGCAGTTGTCCTCCCCCCACCCCATGTTCTTAGAAGCACCTCTGATGGAGTTATTCTGACCTTGAGTCACTGCCTCCCATCATTTCCCAGATGTTTGGTCCTTGCTCTCCCTTTGAGAATCATCTCCCATTTTCTTTCCTCTCCCACCTCTATTTGAGGTAATGGCATCTGTGCCATTGGGTGGTTTCACTGCTCCTTGACTTCATTTGCAGTTTCTTTCCCATGATAGTTTTTAGTTGGGCAGTCTTAAAACTCATCTGATAGGAAGGAAATTAGATGTAATGTGAGAGAGACCACAGTAAAATGTGGGTATTTTTGGGAGTGGGGTGGGGTTTTCAATCTTCTCTTTCCTCCCCATCCCCCCATGGGGTGTATTGGAGATCAACTTCCTCCACCCCCCCAGGTTTAACCCCCCCACTCTGCCCTCCTCCCGTTCCCCACCCCCTTCCTCCCCCCCAGCCAATGGAGATCTTCGTGGATGATGAGACGAAGTTGACGCTGCATGGGTTGCAGCAGTACTACGTGAAACTGAAGGACAACGAGAAGAACCGGAAGCTCTTTGACCTTCTGGATGTCCTTGAGTTCAACCAGGTCAGTTAGACGTCCAGTAGGGGGATGAGCATTGGAGCACTCCAGCTGTAGCAGAAACCTGGATATTAAGTACACTTTTATTGAGGAAATCACATGTGTGATGTGGGAGAGAATAATGAGGGTATAAATATCTTAGGGGCTGAGCATGAGTAAGGTGGGAGCTGCTTTTCTATTCTATGGCTGGCACGGGTATGTCCTCAATAACCTCAAGGAAAATAAACTTCAAAAATTAAGATCCTTGGCCAGGCACGGTGGCTTATGTGTGTAATCCCAGCACTTGGGGAGGCTGAGGGAGGTGGATCACTTGAGTCCAGGAGTTTGAGACCAGTCTGGGCAACATGGCGAAACTTCATCACTACCAAAGAAGAAAAAAATTAGCCAGGTGTGGTGGTGTATGCCTGTAGTCCCAGATACTCTGGTGGCTGAGGTGAGAGGATAGCTTGAGCCCAGGAAATTGAGGCTGCAGTGAACTATGATTGCACTACTGTGCTCCAGCTTGGGCAACAGAGTGAGATCTTGTCTCCAAAAGTCCTTGAAGGATTTTAGGAAGTTGTTAAAAGTCTTGAAACGATGTTTGGGGGCATGTTAGGGTTCTTGAATGTTTAATTCCTCTAATAACTGCTTATTCAAGAGAAGCATTTCTGACTGGGTGCAGGGCAGTGGCTCATGCCCATAATCCCAGTACTTTGGGAGGCTGAGGCAGGAGCATTGCTTGAGCCCAGGACTTCAAGACCAGCCTGGGTAACATAGGGAGACGCCCGTCTCTACAAATAGTAAAAATAAAAAATAAAAAAAGTAGCTGGGCGTGGTGGTGTGCACCTGTGGTCCCAGCTGCTTGGGATGCTGAGGTGGAAGGATCTCTTAAACCCAGGAGGGTGGAGGCTGCAGTGACTTGCGATTGCACCACTGCACTCCAGTCTGGGGGACAGAGTGAGACCCCATCTCAAAAAAGTGTTTAATTAATATACTTGTGAGTGGTCTATTTGCATTTAAAACTGCTTTCTAGAATTAGGATAGCTCCCTTAGGTTTAATGTTTTGGTGAGCAGGAATATCAGTTACCCCTCCAGATCTTAATTCTAGTTTTTTATCACTTTTTCATGAGGTGATCTCATCCTCATCTCCTAGCATGTCTGGCAATTTTGATTTCTGAACTCTGTGCTACCTCAGAGGCCAGCTTCCTTAGGGAAAAATCAGTGCTGAAATAAAGTTATATTTCCTTTTCTGCTCTAAATATATAGTGGGGGAATAAGAGAAATGAAGAGGAATTCCTGAGAACGTAATTACTAGAAACTCCCCTCTCCCACGTAATGTCTCTCACACACCATGGACCCCTATTCCCCCAATTTGCGACCCCCCACCCCACCCCACAACAGGTGGTGATCTTTGTGAAGTCTGTGCAGCGGTGCATTGCCTTGGCCCAGCTACTAGTGGAGCAGAACTTCCCAGCCATTGCCATCCACCGTGGGATGCCCCAGGAGGAGAGGTGAGCTGAAGATGGGAAAGATATTTTGTGTCCTTGGGAGAAAAAGACAGTTGAGAGAAGGGAATCTCAACATGTTTTAAATTTCCTTTCTCACAAAGGCTTTCTCGGTATCAGCAGTTTAAAGATTTTCAACGACGAATTCTTGTGGCTACCAACCTATTTGGCCGAGGCATGGACATCGAGCGGGTGAACATTGCTTTTAATTATGACATGCCTGAGGATTCTGACACCTACCTGCATCGGGTAAACCTCACAGGCTGAAAAAATCCCACTCTCCCATTCCCTTGTTTTCTGTTTGTACATCTTCATTCCTGCCTCTGGGTCTCTTTCCTCTTTGGTCTTCCAGTGCTACCCTCTGTCTCCCTCCAGGTGGCCAGAGCAGGCCGGTTTGGCACCAAGGGCTTGGCTATCACATTTGTGTCCGATGAGAATGATGCCAAGATCCTCAATGATGTGCAGGATCGCTTTGAGGTCAATATTAGTGAGCTGCCTGATGAGATAGACATCTCCTCCTACAGTGAGTACTGATCTCATGAAACCCTTTAGGTCCTCCCTGTTCCTTAGTGTGTTTGTCCTAAATCCCATCACATAGGTCATGGGCATCTGATGCATAATGGACACTTGACTGGTTCATGCCCCCTGGTCTTTGATGCTGTGTTGGGATGTTTTTCTGACCTTTATGTGGGGTTTCTGTCTTCTCTCATCATATTACATCCCTTCCCTCACCCCCACGTCCGTCCTCTGAACCCAGGCAGTACACCAGTGTCTGCATGTGTGCCGTGTGTTCCTGCCTCACTTTCCCCTTTTCATGCCTTATTCTGACCATGCTACGTTTTCTTCTCAGTTGAACAGACACGGTAGAAGACTCGCCCATTTTGGAATGTGACCGTCTGTCCTTCAGGAGAGGACACCAGGGTGGGGGTGAAGGAGACACTACTGCCCCCACCCCTGACAGCCCCCACCCCATGGCTTCCATCTTTTGCATCACCACCACTCCTGAACCCCCATTTCTGATTTGTCAGAATTTTTTTTTAACAAAACTAAAAATGAAACACATGTGTCTGTGGTATCTATAAGTGCTTCGTCCCTTTATTGTATTTGGGGTGAGGTTATTTTAGGGCATGGTCCAGGGTGAATTCCTATAAGGCCTGGGTGCCCTGCCTGCTGTGAGATCAAAGGGGAATGGGACTAAGACTGCAGAGCCCTGGCTCCCCCACTGCCTGCCAATTGCCTGCGGTTTGTGGTCTCTTCCACTTTCTCTGGCCTGGGAAGACGCTGGGGTGTTTATGATCCCAAGGCTCCTGGTGGGTGGTGCGTGTATTTTCAGTGCCGGAGGGTGCTGTGGGCACTGGGGGAAACTTAGGCACCTCCTCCAAGGCTCTCTTGGTGCCTCCTCATCTGTTCCTTCAGCTTCTGGATCTTGAGCACCAGGGCTTGGGCCTCCCAGGCTCCCTCCTGCCCTTCAAGGAGGGCCTGGTACAGCTCCAGCTGCTGCTCCAACAACTCTTCAGCTCGGGCCAGCTCAGCTGTGCGGTGGGTCCCAGGGCCCTGGTCAGGGAATTAAGGGAGGGAGCATCAGCCAGGGCAGGGGGCCGAGGCCCTGGGAAGCTTTGTCGCAGGCTGTGGCTGGAAGTGAGAAATTCCACCTTCCCTATTCGTTTTTGAACCGGTCATTTAAGGACACCTGTACTGAGAAGGCCAGGTAGCTTCCTGTCTTGGGCATAGGCCTGTGGGTGGTAGTAGGGGGAGCAAATAGAGTTCCCTGGCCCAGGGGCTGTAACTGGCTTCCTTGAACAAGGATATGGGGTCACTGGAAAGAGGATCAGCCGCTCCTCCCCGCTAAGAAATAATTAACTGTTAGGTGAGGGGGAATAGATCCTGTTCAAGGACTTTGTGGACTGTGCTGTTGTGGGTGGGGGTGGGGTGAGGGAAGGGAACCCTGAGGTCTGGGCTGGGGGAGGTGGGGAGAGGAGTTGGTAGCTGAACTAAGAAAAGAGCTGCAGGGGTAGGCATGGTGTGGGGTGGTGCAGGGTGGGATTGAGGGTTTTTTTTTCCCACAC
Source organism: Homo sapiens (assembly GCF_000001405.40). Classification (NCBI taxonomy): domain Eukaryota; kingdom Metazoa; phylum Chordata; class Mammalia; order Primates; family Hominidae; genus Homo; species Homo sapiens. The sequence goes on along the minus strand of NT_167247.2, from coordinate 2,871,177 downwards.
CCCAGTGTAAATTCTCACACCCTCTGTTCCTACCTGTGGTGCCACTTACCCTGGGAGGGGACGTCATCTTCCCATTTCCTCTGGAGTTGGTCTGCTTTTCCATGCTTGCTTTGGGGTTTTGGGAGCAGCACCCATGGGAGCCCTGGGGTGCCAAGGACCAGGAGGGCAGAAGGAGGCGAAGGAAATGGTACCGAGAGAGCCAGGGCAGAGGGAGGACCATCGCGGGTGACCTGGCCGGGAGCTGTGTGAGCTGTCCAACGGCCACCAGGAACTGGTTCGCTCCAGGACTTGGCCTCACTTGAGTGCCTGGCCCTGCCCAGGCCCCAGCCCCCAGCCCTGCCCCTGCCCCTGCCCCACTCTGCCCCACGTCTCTCCCAGCCTGGCCCCAGACAGAGTCCAGGAACAACTCCTGTTCCTGATGTGAAAAATGTCCCTGCCAGTTTAGGCAGAACTTGCTTTAGAGCACTGGTGCCCAGCCTACCACAGGTCTGTGATTTTTTTTTTTTGATCTAGTGTTTATTAGGTATGAATTTTACAAACATTAGCGGTAGCTGTGGAGCTGGAGAGTATTGCACCTTCTCCAAGCTGCATGGCGAGAACCACCAATAGTGTGGTAGAACTTACAGCCCTTTCCAAGGCCGTGGCTCTCTTGGCCTGCAGATAGCCTACGCATCTCCCTATGCTTGTTGTGGACCACTGGGTGTCAGGTTTCCTTCTGATAGTGTTATGGAATGGATCAACTAGGATAGCCTCAAAAACTTTGTATGTGGAATCTTTAACCAGCCCAGTGAGAATTCAGGACTCAGAGCCCCACAGTGGCATCCAGCTTGCTCTTCTGTAACAGACTGAAGGCTTTAAGCAAACTAGCTGGTTAACACCATGATAGACAGGCTTGCTGTTAAGTTGCCTTCTTAGGAACTAGATTTTCAGCCACCGTGGCGCTTATATGTAACATAACCTTGCTTGGCTGTAGCCCAGTAGCGTGCTTTATTGGGCTGGGTGGGGCGGGGATCCCTGTGGAGAGCAGAGAGCTGGTGGTACTGCCAGCAGCGGACCCTCAGAAGAAAGCTCATGACATCAGACTGCTTCTTCCATAGCTTCTGGATGTACTTGTATGCACCATCTTGGTTTACCCAGTGGCTGCTGCCAGACAGAAAGGAAAGGCTACCACAGGTCTTGTGTCTTTTTTTTTTTTTTTTTTTGAGACGGAGTCTCGCTCTGTTGCCCAGGCTGGAGTGCAGTGGCGCAATCTGGGCTCACTGCAAGCTCTGCCTCCCGGGTTCACGCCATTCTCCTGCCTCACCCTCCCGAGTAGCTGGGACTACAGGTGCTCGCCACTACGCCCGGCTAATTTTTTGTATTTTTAGTGGAGACGGGGTTTCACCGTAATAGCCAGGGTGGTCTCGATCTCCTGACCTCGTGATCCGCCCGTCTTGGCCTCCCAAAGTGCTGGGATTACAGGCGTGAGCCACCGCACCCGGCATGCCTTTTTCTTAACACTGTTTTCTCACTTCACTCTGCAAGGTAGGAATTACCTCACTGGTTTGCACCTGAGGAAACTGGCTCAGATGGTTTCATTCAGCATTCACTGGGGAAGTGTCTGTTGGGGGCAGCTCTAGGCTGGATGTGCTCGAAGGTCCACAGCTGGTTGTTGGTAGGGCCTGGAGGGTTCATGTCTAGGTCCACCTGACTTGAAAGCTCATCCTGACCTTGCTTAAGTGCTGATTCCCCTTTGCAGATGTACCTTTTATTGTGCTTCCCTTTATTGCTCTTTGCAGATGCTGTTTTTTATTTAGAGATTGGAGGCTTGTGGCAACCCTGTGTCAAGCACATCAAACAGGTCTATTGGTGCTATTTTCCCAACAGCAGGCAGACATCATGTCTCCATGTCACGCTGTGGAATTCTCAAAATGTTTCAAGCGTTTTCATTATTATACTTGTTACAGTGACCTGTAATCAGTTACTGAAGTTAACTATTGTGATTGTTTTGGGACACCATGAGCGATGCTCATATAAGACAGCAAACTTAATGGAAAAATGTGTGTGTTGTGACTGCTTCACCAACTGGCCATTCTCCCGACTCTGCTTTCCAGGCCTCCCTATTCCCTGAGGCACAACAATATTGAAAGGAATAATCCATGCGGCAAATGGCAAACATCATTGTCTTATTTTAAGAAGTTGTCAAAGCAGCCTTCAGCAGCCATGCCCCTGATCCATGGAGGCAAGACCCTCCCCCAGCAAAAAGATCAGGATTAGCTGAAGCCTCATATGATGGTTAGCATTTGTTTAGCAATTAAGTATTTTAAAATTAAAGTATATGGCCAGATACAGTGGCTCACGCCTGTAATCCCAGCACTTTGGGAGGCCGAGGTGGGTGGATCACTTGAGGTCAGGAGTTCAAGATTAGCCTGGCCAACATGGTGAAACCTCATCTCTACTAAAAATACAAAAATTAGCTGGGCATGGTGATGGGCACCTGTAGTCCCAGCTACTTGGGAGGCTGAGCAGGAGAATGGCTTGAACTCAGGAGGCGGAGGTTGCAGTGAGCCAAAATCGTGGCACTGCACTCCAGCCTGGGTGACAGAGCGAGACTCCATTAAGTATATACACAGTTTTTTGTACACAATGCTACTGTACACTTAACAGACTACAATATAGTACAAACATAACTTTTATGCACAATAGGAAACTAAAAAGTTTGTGTGACTCACTTTGTTGCTATGGTCTGGAAACAAATCTTCAGTATCTCCGAGGTATGCCTGTCATTTCCCTTTCCCTCTTCTTGCTGGCCCAGAATGACCTTGTTTCTTGCCCCTGTCTAGCCCTGCATGCTGTAGGGGTTTGCCTTCTCTGGTAGGTCTGGGCACTTTGTATCCCTTGTAACCTTGGCTCCTGGGATATGACACTGGTACAACTGGCCTCAAGTTCTGTTGGACTAGTGAGCCTCCCCCAACACCTCCTGAAGTAGAACCAAAGGCCTGTGCACACACCGTGCATGTGTGAGTCTGCATAGAGATGTCAGCTTCCTGCAGGGTGTTCTGAAGGGATGTCCTGTTGTGACTGGACTGTGACATAGCCACAGGCCCAGAGGCAGGAGTGGCTCAGAAGGGAGTGGCTGGTCCCAATTTTGATCATCTAGGAACAGGAAGGTCCTTAGAAAACCATGCCCCAGAAGGCAGGATTGCTGGAGAGTGGACAGCTGCTAGCCAGCTCGCTATCTGGATATCACTCTGCATTGGGAGGGAAGATGGCCTCTGCCATGGTGTAAGAGTCCAGGAACCAGGCAGTGAGGACTTCCCAGCGGTCAGTGCTTCTCACACTTGCGGGCCAAAGCACCTTTAGATGAGGCCAAAGACTTTACGTTCCTCATTAGCTGACTTTTTCCCACTTAAGTGGAAAAAGAACCCAGAACCTTTGTAAAAGTTTTAGGGGAGAAGGGCTTTCCCTCTTGTATCTTGGTGATAAGGTTATGCATGACTCATACTTTAATTGCAATGTGTACACAGCTAAAGTCTTAATTATTAGAATATAAGAGCCCCAAACTACTGTTATTATAGATAAGCGAAACTATGCAGTATATGGTTAAACAATCCACAACTAATTAACATTGAAAGTTGGCCGGGCGCAGTGGCTCATGCTTGTAATCCCGGCACTTTGGGAGGCCGAGGCAGGGGGATCACTTAAGGTCAGGAGTTCAAGACTAGCCTGGCGAACATGATGAAACCCCGTCTCTACTAAAAATACAAAAAATTAGCTAAGCGTGGTGGTAGCCACCTGTAATCCCAGCTACTTGTGAGGCTGAGGCAGGAGAATTGCTTGAACCTGGGAGGCGGAGGTTGCAGTGAGCTGAGATTGTGCCACTGCACTCCAGCCTGGGCGACAGAGCAAGACTCCGTCTCTCAAAAAAAAAAAAAAAAAAAAAAAAGAAAAGAAAAAAAATTAACTACATTTTTGGGAGGTGGACAGAGCAATGCTCTGTCACCCAGGCTGGAGTGCAATGGCACAATCTCTGCTTGCTGGAACCTCCGATTGCCGGGTTCAAGCAATTCTTATGCCTCTGCCTCCCAAGAAGCTGGGATTACAGACGTGTGCCACTATGCCGAGCTAATTTTTGTATTTTTAGTACAGACAGGGTTTCACCATGTTGGCCAGGCTGGTCTTGAACACCTGGCCTCAAGTGATCCGACTGCCTCAGCCTCCCAGAGTGCTGGGATTACAGGTGTGAACCACCGTGCCTGGCCCTCTATCTGTTAATTTAAAAGATTAGCAGCCATTTAGAAAAAACAACAAATGAGACTTTTGCAAGACAATCTAAATGATACACTAATAACAATCCTTTGGGAAAGTGACATTTCAACCATGTGAGTTTCTGCTTTAGGTTATGAACTCCAAAATGGACTAAATGGACTAACCCCCAATAATTTATAGTAGCTAGTTTTTTTTTTTTTCACAGTAGGTAATTCTAAACCATAAATAAAATAGAATCTGAATTTTGGCTTTGTTCACCTGTGGGAACTTAATTAAGAAAGCACTGGCCTTTGGGTCGGTTCAAATATAGTGGATGAGGCCAGGCGCAGTGGCTCACACCTGTAATCTCAGCACTTTGGGAGGCCGAGGCGGGCGGATCATGAGGTCAAGAGATCGAGACCATCCTGGCCAACATGGTGAAACCCCGTCTCTACTAAAAATACAAAAATTAGCCAGGCATGGTGGTGCACGCCTGTAGTCCCAGCCACTCGGGAGGCTGAGGCGGGAGAATCACTTGAACCCGGGAGCCAGAGGTTACAGTGAGCTGAGATCATGCCACTGCACTCCAGCCTGGCGACAGAGCGAGACTCTTGTCTCAAAAAACAAAAAACAAAACCAAAAAGAAAGAAAACCAAATATAGTGGATAATCGTGGATCTCATAATTGTAGAAATGAAGGAATTAAGCTAAAAAAATACATAAACCAGAATACCTAGTGCTAAAGTTGAATGTCCCCACCAAAACTCGTGTTGACATTTAATTGCTATCCTAATGGTATTAAGATGCAAGACTTTTTTTTTTCTTTTTTTGAGATGGAGTTTCGCTCTTGTTGCCCAGGCTGGAGTGCAATGGCACAATCTCAGCTCACTGCAACCTCCGCCTCCCATGTTCAAGTGATTCTCCTGTCTCAGCCTCCTGAGTAGCTGGAATTACAGGCACATGCCACCACGCCCAGCTAATTTTTGTATTTTTAGTAGAGACGGGGTTTCATCATATTGGTCAGGCTGGTCTTGAACTCCTGACCTCAGGCGATCCACCTGCCTTGGCCTCCCAAAGTGCTGGGATTACAGGCATGAGCCACCGTGCCCAGCCGATGTGGGACCTTTCAGGGTTGATTAGATTGAATAGATTAATGCCATTGTATGGCATGATAGAAATCAGTTCAGCCTCTTTGCCCTTCCACCTCTCACTATGGGATGATACTGCAGCCAGGCCCTCATAAGATGCCAGTGTCATGCTCTTGGACTTCTCAGCCTCCAGCTCTGTGGGAAAAACATTTATTTTCTTTATAAATTACCCAGTCTGTGCTGGGTGTGGTGGCTCAAGCCTGTAATCCCAGCACTTTGGGAGGCCAAGGTGGGTGGAAGGCTTGAGCCCAGGAGTTTGAGACCAGCCTGGGCAACATGGCAAAACCCATCTCTACAAAAAAACACAAAAATTAGCTGGTGTGGTCGTGCGGGTCTGTGGTCCCAGTTATTTAGGAGGCTGAGGTGGGAGGATCACTTGAGTCTGGGAGGTGGAGGTTGCAGTGAGTCGAGATCATGCCACTGCACTCCAGTCTGAGCGACAGAGAGAGACCCTGTCTGAAAAAACAACAAAATAAATTACCCAGTCTGTATTATTCTGTTATAGCGGCAGGAAACGGACTAAGACACATAGATTATGTTACTGTGTTTATTTATTTATTGTTGTTTTTGTTATTCCTGACTCTTAATATAGAGTCTTAATCAGATGAGCATTCTGGCCTGGCCTCCGCAGAAGGGGCCTGTCTTTAGCCACGGACAAGAGGAGATTAAGGCCAGCATCATCCACAAGGTCAAGGGGCTGCAGAGCCCCCTAAGGCCAGTGTGCTGATGGGCCCCTCAATATTGTATCCTACCCAGTGGATTGGCAGGACTGGGTGACTGACAGGAATCATTGTTGCCTCTATGGGAAAGTCTTATGGAGATGGGGGCTGAGGGATGTTGAAGTTTAGCCATTACATTACAGTGAGAGAGATTACATTACTAAGTGTCAGAGACCCTTCTGGGCACTTTCTGTTACTGTCACAGGTGGCTTTCACAGTAACCTTTTAAGAGAGCTCTTTTCATTTTTCTTGTACATGGCTGTCCAGTTGTTCCAGCAGCATTTGCTGAAAAGACTATCTTTATTGTATTGTCTTTGCTCCTTGTATTTATGTGGGACTATTTCTTGGCTCTCTATTCTGCTCAAGTGGATCAATTTGTCTATTCTTTGCCAATGCCACTCTGTCTTTCTAAAATTAATTTTTCGATTGACTAATTTTATACATTTGTGGTGTACATCATGTTTATATATATATGCACATACATACACACACATTGTGGAATGGATAAACCAAACAATTTAATAATATGTATATTACCTCACATACATATTTTGTGTGTATGTGATGAGAATGCTTAAAGCTATTCTCATACTATTTTGAAATACACAATATGTTGTTATTAAGTTTAGTCACCATAAGGTACAATAGATCTCTTGAACTTATTCTTCCTAACTGAAATCTTGTGTTCTTTGACTAACATCTCCCCAATTCCCCGACCTCCCAGCCTCTGATAACCACCAGTTTACTCTCTATTTATGAGTCTGGCTTTTTCTATACTCCACATATAAGTGAGATTGTATTTGTCTTTCTGTGCCTGGCTTATTTCACTTAACATAATGTCTTCCAGGTTCATCCATGTTGTCACAAATGACAGGATTTTGTTTTTTAAGGCTGAATAGTATTCCATTTTTTATATATACCACATTTTCTTTATCCATTCATCCATTGATGGACACTTAGGTGGATTCTATATCTTGGCTATTGAGAATAATGCTGCAGCCAGGTGCAGTGTCTCGTGCTTATAATCCCAGATAATTGGGAAGCTGAGACAGCAGGATCGCTTGAGGCCAGGAGTTGCCCTGGGCAACATAGACTCTATCTCTAAAGGAAAAAAAAAAAAAAAAAAGAATAATGATGCAATGAATATGGGAGTGCAAATATCTCAACGTACTGATTTCATATCCTTTGGATATATACCCATTAGTGGGATTGCTGGATCATGTGGTATTTCTATTTTTAAAATTTTTGCAGAACCTCCATACCGTTTCCCACAATGGCTATGCTAATCACCACTCTGTCTTGATTACTATGGCTTTATAGAAAGTCTAAGTCAGGTAGTGGTGGTCTTTGACTTTATTTTTCTCCTATATTGTGCTGGCTAGGTCTTTTGCCTCACCATATAAAGTTTGAATCAGTTTGTTAATATCCACAAAATAACTTACTGAGGTTTTTTATTGAGATTGCATTCATTCCACAGATCAAGTTGGAAAGAACAGATATATTAACAGTATTGAGCCTTCCTGACTATGAACATGGAATATCTCTCCATTTGTTTAGTTCTTTGATTTCTTTTGTCAGTTTTGTAGTTTTGTTCATATAGATCTTGTACATATTTTCTTAGATTTGTACCTAAGTGTTTCATTTTTGGGGGTGCTAATGTAAGTGGTATTGTGTTTTAAATGGCAAATTCTGGACCAGGCACGGTGGCTCACGCCTGTAATCCCAGCACTTTGGGAGGCTGAGGCAGGCAGAACATGAGGTCAGAAGTTCGAGATCAGCCTGGCCAACATGGTAAAACCCCGTCTCTACTAAAAATACAAAAATTAGCTGGGCATGGTGGGGCACACCTGTAATCCCAGCTACTCAGGAGGCTGAGGCAGGAGAATTGCTTGAACCTGGGAGGAGGAGGTTGCAGTGAGTTGAGATCGCGCCACTGCACTCTAGCCTGGGCGACAGAACAAGACTCCGTCTTGAAAAAAAAAAAATTAAATGGCGAATTCTACATGCTCATTGCTGATACATAGAAAAGTGATTGGCTTTTACATATTAACTTTATATCCTGCAACCTTGCTATAATTGCTTGTTAGTTCCAGGAGTTTTTTATGTGTGGATTCTTTTTGATTTTCTACATAGACAATCATATCGTCTGTAAACAAAGACAGTTTTATTTCTTGTTCCAAATTTGTATACCTTTTAGTTCCTTTTCTTGTCTTACTACTTTAGCTAGGACTTCCAGTACAACGTTGAAAAGCTGTGTTGAGAGGGTCATTCCTGCCTTGTTCTGATCTTAGCAGGCAAGCTTTTAGTTTCTCACCATTAAGTGTGATGTTAGCTGTGGAAGTTTTGTGGATGTTGTTTATCAAGTTGAGTAAGGTCTTCTCTATTCCTAGCTTGCTAAGAGATTTTTTTTTTTTTAATCATCATGAATGGGTGTTGGATGTTGTCAATTGCTTTTTCTGCCTCTATTGATATGATCATGTGATTTTCTTCTTTAGCCAGTTGATTTAATGGATTACATTAACTGATTTTCCAATGTTGAAGTAACTTTGCATACCTGGGATAAATCTTACTTAGGCATGGTGTATTGTTCTTCTCATACATTGTGGATTTGATTTGCTAGCATTTTGCTGAGGATTTTTGCACCTATGTTCATGAGAGATATTGGTCTGTGGTTTTCTTTTTTTGTGAAGTCTTCATCTGATTTTGGTATTTGGCTAACGCTGGCCTCATGGAATTAGTTAGAAAGTATTCCCTCATGGAATCCCGGCCTCATGAAATGAGATAGAAAGTGTCTGTCTTGGCTTTGCAGACGCCACCATCAGGAGCCCCATACTATCAGCCATGGTCAACCCCACCGTGTCCTTCAACATCACTGTCAATGGTGAGCCCTTGGGCTGTGTCTCCTTCAAGCTGTTTGCAGACAAGTTTCCAAAGACAGCAGAAAACTTTCGTGCTCTGAGCACTGGAGAGAAAGGATTTGATTATAAATGTTCCTCCTTTCACAGAATTATTCCAGGGTTTATGTGTCAGGGTGGTGACTTCACACGCCATAATGGCACTGGTGGCAAGTCCATCTACGGGGAGAAATTTGATGATGAGAACTTCATCCTAAAGCATACAGGTCCTGGCATCTTGTCCATGGCAAATGCTGGACCCAACACAAATGATTCCCGGTTTTTCTTTTTTCTCTTTTTTTTGAGATGGAGTCTTAACTCTGTCGCCCAGGCTGGAGTGCAGTGGCGCGATCTTGGCTCACTGCAACTTCCGCCTCCCAGGTTCAAGCAATTCTCCTGCCTCAGCCTCCTGAGTAGCTGGGATTACAGGCATGCGCCACCATGCCTGGCTAATATTTGTATTTTTATTAGAGACGGGGTTTCACCATGTTGGTCAGGCTGGTCTTGAACTCCTGACCTCAGGTGATCTGCCCATCTCGGCCTCCCAAAGTGCTGGGATTACGGCATGAGCCACCTAGCCCGGGCAATTCCCAGTTTTTCATCTGCACTGCCAAGACTGAGTGGTTGGATGGCAAGCCCATGGTCTTTGGCAAGGTGAAAGATGGCATGAATATTGTGGAGGCCATGGAGCACTTCGGGTCTGGGAATGGCAAGACCATCAAGAAGATCACCATCGCTGACTGTACACAACTTGACTAAGTTTGACTTGTGTTTTTTTTTTGAGACTGAGTTTCGCTCTTGTTGCCAGGCTGGAGTGCAATGGCGCCATCTCGGCTCACTGCAACCTCTGCTTCCTGAGTTCAGGCGATTCTCCTGCCTCAGCCTCCCGAGTAGCTGGGATTACAGGCATGCGCCACCACACCTGGCTAATTCTGTATTTTTAGTAGAGACGGGGTTTCTCCGTGTTGGTCAGGCTGGTCTTGAACTCCTGACCTCAGGTGATCCCACCTGCGTCAGCCTCCCAAAGTGCTGGAATTACAGGTGTGAGCCACCGTGCCCGGCCTGACTTGTGTTTTATCTTAACCACTAGACCATTGCTTCTGTAGCTCAGGAGAGCACCCTCCATCCATCTGCTCGCAGTATCTAGAATCTTTGTGCTCTCACTGCAGTTCCCTTTGGGTTTCATGTTTTCCTTGTTCCCTTCCATGCCTAGCTGGATTGCAGCATTAAGTTTATGATTATGAAATTAACACTGAATAACAACAACAACAAAAGAAAGTATGTCTTCTGGAAGAGATTATAGAAAATTGGTATAATTTTTTCCTTAAATGTTTGATAGAATTTATCAGTAAACCCATTTGGGGCTGATGTTTTCTGTTTCTGAATGTTATTAATTATCGATTTAATTTATTTAATATATGTCTATTCATTTCATTTTTTAAATTAATTTTTTTTATAAGACAAGGTCTCACTATGTTGCCCAGGCTTCTCTCAAACTCCTGGGCTTAAATTGGCCTCCCAAAGGGCTGGGATTACAGGCATGAGCTACTGTACCTAGCTTCATTTCACTTTTAGTTAAATTTGTTTTGAATAATAATAGATTTAACTTTGGGAGGCCGAGGCGGACAGATCACCTGAGGTCGGGAGTTCGAGACCACCCTGGCCAACATGGCGAAACCCCATCTCTACTAAAAATACAAAAACTAGCCGAGCGTGGTGACGGGTGCCTGGAATCCCAGCTACTGGGGAGGCTGAGGCAGGGCAATTGCTTGAACCCAGGAGGTGGAGGTTGCAGTGAGCTGAGATCGCGCCATTGCACTCCAGCCTGGGCGACAGAGCGAGACTCCATCTCAAAAAAAAACAAAAACAAAACAAACAAAAAAACCCAATAACAATAACAATAATAGATTTAAAGAGTTGCAAAGCTAGAACACAGAGTTTCCATAAACCCCAGCTTTCCTTAATGTTAACATCTAACAAAATTCTGTCAAGACTAAGAAACTAAGAAATTAACATTGCTATAATACTATTCGCTAAACTGTAGACTTTATTTGGACTTCACCAGTTTTTCCAGGGCCCATTAATGCATTTAGCTTTTGGGTCTCCCTAGTCTTTCTGATCATGAGTTTCTCAGTCTTTACCTGTTTTCATGACCTTGAAAGTTTTGAAGAATACTGGATAGATAATTTGTAGGATGTCCCTCACTTTGGGTTTGCCTGATGCTTCCTTATGATTAGATTGGGGTTATGGGTTTAAGGGAAGAATACCATAGAGGGGAGTGTCCTCATCACATCATTTCTGGGGGGCAAGATGTTAACATGACTCTGATTGCTTGGTAGTGTCTGCTACATTTCTCCACTGTAAAGTTATTATTTTTCCTTTTTCATACTCTAGTCTTTGGAAGCAAGTCAGCAAGTCCAGCCCATATTCAAGGTGAGAGAAATAAAATTCCAATCTCCTGGGAAAGAGATTCTCGTAATATATGTTTTGAAATTCTTCTGTAAGGAAGATTTGCCCCTTCTTCCCTATTTATTTATTTAATTATTTTTGATTAAATAAATCAGTGTGGAATGAATATTTATTTATATTTTGGGTCATAATCCAATACTATTGTAACTTTGTTGCTCGGATTATTCCGGCTTTGTCCATAGGGAGCTCTTTCAGGTTGACTCCTGTGTCCCTCTGACATGCCCTTATTTTTTGGTGGTGAGGGTTGGGAGATGGGTGGCGGTTACTTTCTGGCATTACAAGATGTTCCAGGCTCACCTTATATTTTTCCTATGCCAGCCCTAGAATCAGCTGTTTTTCTATGGAGCCCTGAATCCTTTTATCAGAGAATGACTTATCACAACCAAGGTCTAGGCACTGGGTGCTCACTTCACTCTTCTAAGGAGGACACAGAGGTCTCAAGACCTGTGGGAACTCACACAGGCACATAAATGGCTCTCACTTCAGCACCACTTTAGAGCTGATTCAGCTGGGCATGGTGGCTCATGCCTGTAATCCCAGAACTTTGGCAGGCTGAGGCAGGCGGATCACCTGAGGTCAGGAGTTTGAGACCAGCCTGGCCAACATGGCGAAACCTCGTCTCTGCTGAAAAATACAAAAATTAGCTGGGCATGGTGGCGCATGCCTGTAATCCCAGCTACTTGGGAGCCTGAGACAGGAGAATTGCTTGAGTCGGGGAGGCAGAGGTTGCAGTGAGCTGAGATCATGCCACTGCACTCCAGCCTGGGCGACAGAGCAAGACTCCGTCTCAAAAAAAGAAAAAAAAAAAAAAAAAGAGAAAGAAAAAAAGAGCTGATTCAGCTCAGACTTTGACTTCCCCGAGTTGATGAGCAATTTTCCATGCAGGTCTTTATTTCTTAAAGCTTCTGTTTTTCAGTATGCAGGGCTTAGGCACTAGTAATTTTATTCCCTAATATTTGGAGACTTTCCTAAAATAAACATTTTACATTTTGGTAACATGATTCACTTAGAGAATTGACCAGAATAGACAAGAGGAAGAAGCCGGTGGAGGGAGGAGGCACATTGTTCTTTCCTGTGGAGTATTTCCCAATTCCTGCTGCTCTTTCCACATCCCTGGGCCTGGGAGAAGGATGGCACCCTTGGACCATGACAGAAAAATGGTGATTTGGAAATACCTGCCTCTTCTGTCTCCCTACCCTTCCATTTCAGTGCCCATTCTCCCTCCCAACCCATGGCCCATGAGCTTTTCCTTCTCCTAGCCTCTCACCTAGTGCTGGCTCCTCAGAGGGAAGTGAACCATCACCCCCTGGAGGGTGGAACTGGGGAGAGAGAGGCCAGAGCCTGGGGCTGGGGCAGAAGCTGCAGCAGGAAGGAAGGAGGTTAGAGAGACAGATGAGGGGTGAGATGTGAGTGCTCAGAGGGAGAATGAGGACATCCCCAGCATCTCCATAGAGGAGGGAGGAAGGGGCCTTGGGTGCTGGGGCAGAGAGGGGGGCAGGATCTGGATGGGACGCCCCACCCTCAGCCTCTGGTCCTCTGACAACACCTCACCTAGTCACACTGAGGGGCTTCTCCAGGCCCAGGAGCACCTGCAGGCAGGTGTATCTCAGGCCTTCTCTGGGAGGGCCCCCCACAGCTGCCCAGCCCTGATATGTCTCATCTTCCTGGGTCTGGTCCCCTTGAGTCTTGAGTCCAGAGTTGGCTCCTCCCCTTCCTGCAGCCAGGTCAGAGTGATGTTGGCAAGTGAGAAGCCAGGTGCTCTACATGGCAAGGTGTGGTTGCCCTCAGGGTCCTCCTTGTCAGGGACCACAACTTTGGGGAAGTCGGGGAGGCACCGGATGCAGGAGATAGAGAACAGAGAGGTGGAGTGAGAGTGGGACACACTTCAGCCTCCCCTCCTCTCCTAGTCTTCCTCCACATGCCAGTGCCTTTCCCTCCCCAACTCCAGCACTTCTAACAGCCACAGCAGGAAGGGGAGACCCAAATCCCCATCACTCTCTGCCACAGTCTCTGTGAGTGTGGCCACCTCCATTTCCACTGCAGCTTTAGGGTCTGCCCCAGAGCAGAGTCCTGGGTATGCTTAGAGCGGGATACTGGAAGGTTCTTCCTTCAAATATCTGCATGGCTGTTTCTCTCCTTCTCAAGTCTGCTCACATGGCTCCTCCAAGAGGCCTACCCTGACCACCTGCCTCGGCCTCCCAAAGTGCTGGGATTACAGGCGTGAGCCACCACGCCCGGCCATTGTCCTGGCTCAATCTGATCAGGAATTCTTTTTTACTTTTTTCTTTTTGATTTTTTAGGTTCAAGGGATACATATTCAGGTTTGTTACATGGGTAAATTGTGTATCACGGGTGTTTGGTGTGCAGATAATTTTGTTACTCAGGTAATCAGCACAATACCCAATAGGTAGTTTTTTAATCCTCCCCCTCCTCCCACCCTCCACCCTCAAGGAGGCCCCAGTGTCTATTGTTCCCTTCTTTGTGTCCATGTGTACTCAATGTTTAGCTGCCACTTATAGGTGAGAATATGTGGTATTTGGCTTTCTGTTCCTACATTAATTTGCTTAGAATAATGGTCTCCACCTCCATCCATGTTGCTGTGAAGGACATGATTTCGTTCTTGTTTTTTTGGCTGGGTAGCGTACCATGGTGTATAAGTGCTGCAGTTTTCTTTTCTTTTCTTTTATTTTTTTTTTGAGACGGAGTCTCATTCTGTCACCCAGGCTGGAGTGCAGTGGCGTGATCTCGGCTCACTGCAAACTCCACCTCCTGGGTTCATGCCATTCTCCTGCCTCAGCCTCCCGAGTAGCTGGGACTACAGGCGCCCGCCACCACGCCCGGCTAATTTTTTGTATTTTTAGTAGAGACGGGGTTTCACTGTGTTAGCCAGGATGGTCTCGAACTCCTGACTTCGTGATCTGCCCGCCTCACCCTCCCAAAGTGCTGGGATTACAGGCATGAGCCACCGCGCCTGGCCCTGTGCCGCAGTTTTCTTTATCCATTCCACTGTTGATGGGCATCTGGGTTGATTCCTTACCTTTGCTATTGTGAATAGTGCTGCACTGATCACAAATTCTTAAAAGTGGAGATAACTGAAGAAATGTAGGTCAGGTGTAGTGTTAGATTTCATCTACAGTGATTTCTACATCTAGTGAAATATGATTGTCTCTTTTTAAATTATTGAATTAAGTGTTAAAATGCATTAAAAGATTTAAAGTTTAAATATTCTTTTATTCTTGGGATTCATAACTTGGTCAAGATATTTAATTTGTTTATAGCACACTGATGGACACAGTCTACTATTTTTCTCATCTATTTTACATCTAATTACTAATAGTGATTTTCCTATCTTGTTTCTTTATTATTTGTTCCCTAACTGGCTTTAGAATTAACACTATTCATAGCTGATAAAGTGAGTTGCCTAGCTTTCTGTATTTTGCTCCATTCTCTTGAATATTTTAAATAAGTCCAATAACCTTCTTTGAAGGTTTAGTAGGACTTCCCTGTGAAACAATCTGTATATAGTTGGGCAGAGATAGAATTTTTACAACTGTTTTAACTTCTTACTTGCAGTAAGTCTTTTCCATCGACATTTTTTTTTTATAATTTCAAGATTGTTTACATCTCTACTATAGCTGCAGTGGCATATTTATCTGTCATAACACTGTCTTGCTCTTAATTAACATTGTCTGTTTTTTTTCTCTGTTCAAAGAAACAGCTGCTTTTGGCAGGCTGGGTCCTCAGCAGTGGCAGCTGCCAGGTCAGCCTTGGTGAGTGGTGACTCAATTGCTCTGTCCATGCAGTGTCCATCCCAGCCACCACGGCCACTTTGTGCAGGGACTCATGAGCAAGCCTTGTGCGGCTGAGTGGCATCATCCATCAAGCCATCTCGCTCACCTGGTTACAGGGAGCCCCAGCCCCTTGGAGACCCTCTGGCAGGCATCCATATGCAACCTCTATCTTCACATGCTCTTCCCATGGAAAGTGGTCAGTGCACACTTCTCTCTTCCATCCCCCAATTTTACAACTTTATTTTCCCCAAGTTCCAGACTGGCCAGGCAACCCATGAGTCACTGCCCTTGATTCATTCATTCATGCACTACTGGGGCATAATTTCTACCCTCTACCTCCTGTGGTCTTGTTTGGGTTTTGATTCCTAGTTCCTGGCTCGACAGCCCTTTCCAAAGCTGTTCTGGTGTCAGCTCCCAAGCCTACTGCTCTTGTAGATTCTCCTTTTTATATCTGAGTCATGGGCATTTATTTCCTGGAATTAAAAAAAAATTCACTGGTATTTTCAATGCAGCATTTCTAAGGACTTGGAGTAGGAGAAATTCTATATTAGCTTAGAGAGAATTGTTTCAAAACACCAGAAATGTAAACTTGAATGAAGGACAACATGCATGTAGAAAGGTGGACAAATCACAGGTGGGCAGTGGGTTTTGCCTAAGTAAAAACTCAGATAAACAACACCTTCATCAAGCAACATCATTTTCACCCTCCAAGAAACACCGTTGAGTCATAAACCAGCCTCCCCCACCCTAGAGTAGCCACTGTCTTGATTTTTAACACTGTAGATGAGTTCTGTTGGTTCTGATTGAATGAAATTAGAAGTTGTTTTCATGTAGTCGGGCTCATCATCTTTGTTGGGCTCATCATCTTGCTGTGTGTGGTCATAACCGATTCTCTCCCATGGCCGTCAAGTGCTCCACTTTATTTATTTATTTATTTTGAGACGGAGTTTCACTCTTGATGCCCAGGCTGGAGTGCAATGGCGCCATCTCGGCTCACTGCAACCTCCGCCTTCCTGGTTCAAGCAATTCTCCTACTTCCGCCTCCCGAGTAGCTGGGATTACAGGCATGCGCCACCACTCCCGGCTAATTTTGTGTTTTTAGTAGAGACACAGTTTCTTCATGTTGGTCAGGATGGTCTTGAACTCCCGACCTCAGGTGATCCACCAGCCTCGGCCTCCCAAAGTGCTGGGATTACAGGCGTAAGTCACCGCATCCAGCCAAGGGTAAATCTCTTATTTTAGAAATTATTCAGCTAGTGAATGGGGAAGGAATGAGAGACTGAGACTATAATTCTTTTGCAACCCATAACGAATTAACAGATTTAGCCATTGAAAAGCAATGGCAATTAAAAGTAGAGTAGAAGTAAATAACCAGTACTAAGTTCTTCCTCCTGATGGAAGAATACAATGGAGTGCCATAAATGAAGTATTCAAGAAGAAAATCAAGTCAGTCTATAAGCAAATCTCTGTAGCCAACTACCAATTTGTAGAAAGTACAGATAAAACAGGTCCATATTAAACTATGCCTTGGGGTGGAGCCAGCAAAATGCAAACTATGGAAAACTCAGCCAGACAATAAAATTTCAAGGAGGAGCATAGAGAAAAAAAGAGAACAGGCCAGGTGCAGTGGCTCACGCCTGTAATCCCAGCACTTTGGGAGGCCGAGGCAGGCAGATCATGAGGTCAGGAGATTGAGACCATCCTGGCTAACATGGTGAAACCCTGTCTCTACTAAAAATACAAAAAAATTAGCCGGGCGTGGTGGCAGACGCCTGTAGTCCCAGCTACTCGGGAGGCTGAGGCAGGAGAATCGCATGAACCCGTGAGGCGGAGCTTGCAGTGAGCCGAGATCATGCCACTGCACTCCAGCCTGGGTGACAGAGTGAGACTCCGTCTTAAAAAAAAAAAAAGAAAAAAGAGAACAAAAATTATACATCCCAAGGTAAAACTAAACTACAATTTCAGAGGATGAAAATATAAAATAGAACAAAGAAGCAATCATCATAAAGGTCAGGCTGTGATTTTATGTGGGGAAGGGAAGCCTTTATCACTGAGCTGGGGCAAATGATGGTTTCTGGGCTGGCTGACAAACTTCTATATCTCTGGTGGTTAAAGGGTGTTTATCTTTTATTATTATTATTTATTATTATTATTAAAGGGCAACATTTTCAGACAGTTTTTCTTTTTGGGTACCTGTTTTATTTTATGGCAAAAAGCTAATGAAGAATAAAATAATTTATAGGTCATGATTACTGTTTTGCAGAAAGCCTACTCTCCACACCCCTCTCCAGACACTGAGCTCCCAAAACAAGTGGCAGCACCAGGACCCCCTGGCAGGGCCACCTCACTTCTGGGTGTGTTCATGTCACTGGAGGCAATGTCCCAGGTCTATTCCTTGATGCCTGGAAGAACCTGATAGGAGACAGTTGAGGGGAAGCCTTCTCTGTCACCTGCAGGTTCTTGGCTGTCACTGTAGAGGGAGCGGGTCCTCACTTCTCCCACAGGCCGGATCACAGCCAGAACCTCCTCCCTGCATGGGGAGTGAGGCTTGATCCTTTCCCTGAATACAGTGACAGAGATCTCTGTGTCATCACATGAAGGCTCCAACTCTTCAGGGCAGATGTTCCCTCACAGGGTCAGCCCCTGAATATTGGCGCCAGATGTCCCACCTCCATCCCTTCCCAGTCCTTTCTGTTCTGCTGTGAATCTGTCAGTCATTGGGAACTAGCAGGGAAAGGGAACAAGGAGGGGAGATTGCTTTGATGCTGGGTCAAAGCATTGAGACAGACCTCTCCTTCTCCCTGAACCTCACACTTTATCCGCTCCCAGACGCATGAAATAAAACACAGACCAGAAATGTCTATTTAAAGAGTAAACATTTACGGTATAAATTATGCACACATAATAGTAGACACAGAGTAATGCATAACGGTGTGACGGGGCGAGGGGACCTCAAGGTGACAAGAAAGCTGGTCCTGGGCTGGTCAGGAGGAGTCATCACCAAGATACTCACTCATAAAGTTCACCCATGATAATCTAATTACTGCACATGTAATATATTAAAATATATTAAAACATAAGAAAATAGGACAGGCATGGTGGCTAATATAATAAAATATATTACAATATAATAAAATAGGCCAGGCACGGTGGCTCATTCTTGTAATCCCAGCACTTTGGGATGCCAAGGCAGGCAGATCACCTGAGGTCAGGAGTTTGAAACTGGGCTGGTCAACTTGGCGAAACCCCGTCTCTACAAAAAATACAAAAATTAGCTGGGTGTGGTGGTGCCTGTCTGTAATCCCAGCTATTCGGGAGTCTGAGGTACGAGAAGTGCTTGAACCTGGGAGGCAGAGGTTGCAGTGAGCTGAGATCACACCAGTGAACTGCAGCCTGGGTGACAGAGTGAGACTCTGTCTCAAAAACAAAAACAAAAACAAAAACAAAAACAACAGAAATAATGATACCAATTAATATGGCACTGTTAAGGGCCCCACAACCCTGTATTGGACTGAACAAAGGGCGAACGTGGGAATAAAGAGAAAGACAAAAGAGTATATTTGGAACAAGGGGTCAGGGGGCTTCTTGCTTCTCGTGAACAAGGGCTCTGATCTTCCACAGCCCTTCGTATTTATTGGTATAGGAGATAGCAAGAAGAGGGGTGGAAGAAGGAGTCAGCTGCTGGGTCCAGAGTAGGCTTGTAAGACTGCATTCCTCAAACAATAGGCTCTAGATGACCCAGTAGATAACTCCAATGAGCACCATGGAGTGAATGCCCTCAGCAAACCTTCTGTTGGCAGGAGCAGTCGTGAGTTTGCCCACATCCTGCATTCATGATAAACAATTTGCTGTTTGATCATATAGCCTCCAATGGAATGTTGAGTTGGTCATGATCCCTTTGCTGGCTCTCTACGTGGCAGAGCAGCAAACACCTCATACCTACTAACACTTTGCAGCATCCAACAACAATAAATAAGTGATGTTATTTTCTGTTTCATAGGTCAGGAAACAGAGGGAAAGTGCTGGTGAGATCCAGGCAGGGAGTTGAATCCTGGCCGCCTGGCTGTAGAGTCTAGGCGCCCTCAGTGGAACCAGTGGACCCAGTAGCTGACATCAGAGGCTGAAATCCCAGCTGTGCTGCATCCCTGTGGTCTCCTGTCCCAACTGGGTGTTGATCCAGGACCTGCAGGCTCACAAGCTCTGGAGAAGAGGGAAACGGGTAAATGCTCCACTGGGTGCAGTGTTGTGTTTATTCCCTAAGGACTTTTCTCTCTTCAGTTGCCCCAAAATCAGATTCACCCTTTCTCTGAGAGAAGATGAGGCCCCCACTTTTTTCTTCCTCCCTCCTTGCTTTTCCCAGCCCCTGTCAGTTCTCTCCCATCACTCCATCAACATCAGCCCCTGTCCTGTGCCCACCACTCACCGTGCAGGGAGTGAAAGGGCCCCAAGACAAAAGGACAAGACCCAAGAGGGAACCCAGTGCCCTCCTCTCAGGCCTGACCAGTCCTGTTACAGTGAGAGGCCTCCCCAAAGAGAGGCCCTGACCCTTGCTCTCAGTCCCCAGGCCCTCCTCTCCTGCAGAGGCACCTGCACACCAGGGCAGGCCCTGCCCACTGTGGGCCCTGCCCTCTATCTGCAGCTCAGCACTCCTCCCCTCCCAGCCCTGAGCAGGCAGCTCCTAACTGGGGACCCCATCAGGAAGCCTGGGGGGCCCAGCAGGCCCAGCATGGAAAGACATGGCTGCCACAGGATCTGCACCTGACATGACCCTGGGACCCCCCACCTTGCTCGAGGAGGCCTGGCCTCCCATGACCTTCAGCACCCACCTAGGCCTGTGACCTGCTGTTGAGTCACTACTGCTCCTGCCTGGTCCACTTACTCCTGGTCCACTTACTTCACCCCAGGGCTGCTGCTTGGTGAGGCTGCGAGGCCTTCCTGCTCTGTCCCTAGCAGGGATTCCACCCAGGCCACTGCCCTTGCAACCTACAAGGACTTTTCTCCACGTGGAGTAGGGGAGACCCCTTAGCCTGAGGCTGCCTCTGCCCACCCTCTGCACCTGGGAACTGCCGCTGCCACAGCCACCATCTCCACACAGACCCTTCTGGAGAGGGGGCTCCAAATTTGAGTTCCTGTTTTATTTAATATGCTTTACAACAGCAGTATTAGAGGAAATCCTATTAAGATTATAGAGCTGAAATTACGAACATCTTTATTGGACATCAACATTGAAAGCAGGAATTTTGATAAACTGGCACATGAATTTCATACCCTTTTCCTGGCCAAAACCCCAGTGACCTACGAGGAAACCATTCCTGCCCACAGGGAACCAGAAGTGACAATCCCTCCACGGGAGACGCCGCAGGTGAGAGCAGGAGTGACCACAGACCTGCACTGCCCCTGCTGTGGGTGCCTCCTGGACAGGGCCCTCTTGCTGCAGGGCAGGGGACGAACCTTCCCATCTGCTCAGGCATGAGGGGCCGACTGACAGTGCAATTAGGTTCAAGGATGAGAAACCAGCGCCCCTACCGCCAGACTCAGGTCTCCTGGACACCCCAGCCTCTCACTGTCCCCTGCACTGCCTCTGTTTTTGCAGAAACACAAAACTTCTGCTGTCTCTTTTCATCCCCCATCAAACAACCTGACTGTGGGGGAAATGCTTCTGACCGTCCCTTACTCCAAACTTACCAGGCAGTGACCACCTTGAGAAAGGGAAATTGGCTCAGGGAGGGCAAGGTAAGGCCACAGAGCACAGAACAAAGCCTCAAAGAGATGGCGCCTGGGGACTGTGTCCCTCAGGGACTGCAGAAGAAAACACGCTGGAGGTAGGATGAAAACAGGGACCACAACTGCCCTGATGAGGGGCTGGGCCCCGCTCCTCAAATGGCCCAGGGACATCTGCTTATCTATTCATCTGTGTCATCTGCAAGGAAACTCAGGGAGGCCAGGTGGTGGGAACCTGGAAAGTGCCTCCTGGAGGAGGCACACGGGTGGGCACCGCCTCTCCTTGGATTCCTCTCCAGTTTCTGGCCCTCCCCAGATCACAGCCACCTTTACTATTTCCTCCCTCTGACACCATGATCATCCAGGCCCTCAGCAATCAGCACGTGATTCCCAACTCACCCCACCTGGACGCACCCTAGTGAGCCCGAGAGACAGAGAGGCTGGGATGGGGACAGAGCAGGTGCCACAGCCCTCCCTGCTGCCCACTCCTCACTTGCAGCAGGAGGAGGCCACAGCTGGATATTCGAAGGCCTTGCCCCAGCCCTGGCTTGAGAAGCACTTATGGGTGTAGATGGAGATGCAGCTCCCATTCCCCTCCCAAATACCCCAGCTTCCATCCCCTGTTCCAGCAGCCTTGTCACCTACGTCTTGTCTGGGCAGGAGCAATGAGGAGACCCTACTGCCTAGAAAGGAGCTTTCCCATCTCCAGAAACTGTCCCCTTTTCTCACCTGGACCCTCTGCCGCTGATGTTTTCTTCTTGCAACAAGGGACACAGAGAATAATAATAATAACAAAACATGGCATAGCAGCAGAAACATATGGAAAGTCTGTCCGTTGACTCTGAAGCACCAGCGCCTTCCCTGAAAAAAAGGGACTTGTTATACACTGGGCAGAGAGCCACAGCCGTCCCTGCTGTTCCTACCCTGGCCTGACCCTCTCCAGGGTCACCCCAGGCTCACCAGAGGGCACAGGGTGAGTGCCGTGATTCCCGCTGTGTTCCATGTAGCAGGTGAACCTCTGCTCCTCTCCTTGGCGAATCCTGGTGGCCACCCAGGTCTGGTAGGTTCCATTCCCATCAGGCAGGACATCCCCCCACTGCTGGGTGTTGTGGCTCAAAGATACCCCATCCTGACGCCAGGTCAGTGTGATATTCCGGGGATAGAAGCTGGAAGCCCTGCATGTCACGGTGATGTTGCCCTCTGAGACCTCGCTGCAGGTGACATTCACCATGGGGGGCACTGGAGAAGAAAGGGCAGAGCCAGTGAAGCCCTGCTCCCCTCTAAGGGAGATGCAGGGAACAGGGCTGCTCCTCTCCACTGTTCTCACTCTGGCTGAATCCCTCACAGATCCCAGACCTTCTGTAAGTCTGTCCTCACCCTGGGGCCTAATTCCTCCAGGCTAGCAGGAGGATGGGCCTTGGGACTGTGGCCTCAGGCTCTGGGATCCCCACATTGATGCTGAGGAGGGGGATGTCAAGGGTGGACTCCTGGGTCATGGGGCCAGGAGGGAACTCTCCGGGATGGGCAGGCCGGGAGGCAGAGGGGGCAGCCCTGGCCCTGAGGGCTTCCTCTCCTGCCTAACTCCCACCCCAGGCTCAGGCTTCTGTCAGAGGGCCCACTGCTTTCCCAGATTACAACACTGGACAGTTCAGTCCCAGACCCACTGTCTTTATCCAATGGCTCTAACAGGAGAGGCAAATCAGGACACAATATGCCAACAGGAAACGCCTGCATCCATAGCACAGGGAGGGTTTCCCTGGACAGAGCTGGGAGGCGAGGCAACTCTAGCAGAATTGCGGGAACAGTAGAGCCCCTGGCCAGGGTCGGTACCTGTTCTCCTGATGGCCACCCCGGATTTCAGATATCGCTGTAGTTTCTGCAGGCAGTCTGCCTGCATAGCGCGATAGTGTGTCTTGGTCTTCATGGCATCTTCCTTCCAGAAATTTGTGACGTTCATAGCCAAGGTCTGAGCTCTGGAGGACTGGGGCACTGTCGATTCTTGAGTCTCCAGGTTTTGGGAGAGGAAGAGCTCCCCATTGTAGTAGAAATGCCGGGAGCCCCTGGTGCTGCTGTCTTCATGGATCTCACAGACCCTAATCTCCTGGAGGGAATGCAAGCCTGCCCCCACCCAGCAGTGACTTCTCCATTCCCGAACCCATCACCTTTCCACCCAAGTGAGGAACTCAGCCCAGCGGCGACCCCTCCCTGGCCCTCCTCCATGCCTCCCTGTGTGGGCTGAGTTCCGGCTCACCACCCTGCTGAGCCTCCCTGACCCTATTCCTCATCCCCACCCCCAGCCAGATCCAGCGGGAAGAGACAGGTCCCTGCTCTCTGTCTCCAACTTTCCTGGAGAAGGCCTCCCATTACTCTTGCCCCTGCCGACTCTCACCTCCTTTCTGGTCCTTGATATGAGTCAGGGTCCTCCTGAGGTCTTGCCCATTCTCTGTCAAGTCCTCGGTCTCTGTGTCCCAGGTCTCAGCTCCCAGGACATCTTCTGCCCACTGTCCCTGGGGCTTTGCCCTGCGTTTCTGCCTGTCATAGCGCAGGAAGGGCTGACCATCCAGATGTCCCTCAGCGAGAAACCCTGACTGCACAGATCCATCCTGGGACAGCACCATGAGGTTGTAACGAAGACTGTGGGGCTCTGGGGAAGAGGAAATCACAGGTGAAACTTCTTCCTGGAAATAACTTCACATTGATGTTTAACACACAGGTCTGCTGTCCCGACCTCCCTGAGGAGGCAGGAAATGCACATGGGCAAAAGGACAAGAACGAAGATTTCATATACAAGGAAAACTGTGAGGGTGGGAGGATAGAGGAGGGGGCTGATGAACAGAAGAAGGGGGAATGAAGATGGCAAACTTGTAGGTCAGGTGCCAGGACTGGGTGGCCACAAGCCCCCTAAGGGAATAGGGGCCAAGGGGAGAGGCTGCCCTGCAGGGGCAAGGGAGGAGCATGAAGGCAGTGTTGGAAGGAAGGTCTTGCCAGAGGGGACAGTGGGAATGGGAAGGGACTCAGGCTCAGAGGGACCCATGTCCAGTGTGGCTGTGGTGCACAGGTGAGGGTGAGATGGAGGCAAGGCGAGCTGCCTTGAGAAAAGACTCATCATGGGCATGGTGGGGACAAGGGAGGGGGTGGTCATGAGGCACAAGGGGTAGGAAGGTTGTAGCCCTAGAGAAGTTTATAGTGGGGTCAGTATCCCAGAGGGGAGCAATGATGTGGGCTTGGGTTCAAAGTGGAAGAGTGGCATGACAAGGCCCCAGGACAGCAATTGGATGGACCAGCTAGTGTCCACTGGGGTGGGCAGGTGACAGGGTATCAAAGAGTAAGTCCATCTTTTCAGCAAATAGTGCTGGGGGAACTGGATGTTCAAATAATATAAAATTGGACCCTTAATTTGTACTATATACAAAAATTAACTCAAAATGAATCAAAGACCTAAACTCTAAACTCAAGAACTAAAACATAAAAATATCTTAGAAAAAAACATTGGGTATAATGTTCATGACATAGGGTTTGACAGTGCTTTCATGGATATGACGCCAAAGCACAGATAGAATAGAAAGAACTGACAAACTGGACTCATGAAAAATTCAAAATATCTGTGCATCAAAGGGCACAATCAGAGTGAGAAAGCAATCAACCCCTGAAATGAAATAAATATTGCAAGTCATATATCTGATAAGAGATTAGCTTCCAGAAGGCCAGGCGTGGTGGCTCAAGCCTGTAATTCCAGCACTTTGGGAGGCCGAGGCGGGTGTATCACCAGGTCAGGAGATTGAGACCATCCTGGCTAACATGGTGAAACCCTATCTCTACTAAAAATACAAAAAATTAGCCGGGTGTGGTGGCGGGCGCCTGTAGTCCCAGCTACTAGGGAGGCTGAGGTGGGAGAATGGCATGAAGCTAGCGGGTGGAGCTTGCAGTGAGCTGAGATCGTGCCACTGCACTCCAGCCTGGGCAACAGAGCAAGACTCCATCTCAAAAAAAAAAAAAAAAAAAAAAAAGAAAAAGAGAGAGATTAGTTTCCAGAATATGCAAAAAAGTTTGACAAAAACAACAAAACAGTCAACCCACTCAAAAATGGGCAAAATAGCCATGAGAAGCTATGTGGGGGAGAAAAATGGGCAAGACTTCAATGGCCAATTCTTCAAAGAAAATATACAAATGATCAATAAACACATGAAAAGATGCTCAATATCAGTACTCATTAGGAAAATGCAAATCCAAACCACAATGAGATACCACTTCAAACCAATCAGGGTGGCTATTATCACACACACACACACACACACACACACACACACACACACACAAACAGCAAGTTTGGCAAGGAGGTAGAGAAACTGAAGCCCCTGTATACTGCTTCTAGAAATACAAAATGGCACGCCTGCAATGGAAAACACTATGGTGATTCCTCTAAAAATTAAAAAATGAAATACCGTATGATCCAACAATTCTATTTCTGGATATATACCCAAAAGAAATACTCAAAAGAAATAAATATATACCCAAGAGAAATGAAATATTTGCCAATATCCAAAAGGTAGAAGTAACCCAAGTGTCCATTGTCTGAGGAATGGATAACCAAGGTGTGGTACATACATATAATGAGTATTATTCATCATTAAAAGGAATGAAAATCTGACCCATACTACAACCTGGATGAACCTCGAAATATTATAAGTGAAATAAGCCAGAATCAAAAAGACAAACATTACACGATTCTACTTAAATGAGGTACCTAGAGTGGTCAAATTCATAGAAACAAAAAGTAGAATGATGGTTACCAGGGGCCAGAGGTAGGGAGGAATGGGGAGTTACCGATTAATGGGTACAGAGTTTTGGGTTGCACAAAAATGTGAATGTATCTAATGCCACCGAGTATACACTTAAAAGCGGTTAAAACAGTAAAATTTATGTAATGTATAATTTACCACAATTAAACGTTTAAAGAACAAGAAATATCAGTCCTATTCAAATTGTTCTGAAAAACAGAGGAGGAGGGAATACTTCCAAACTCATTTTACAAAGCCAGGAATATCCTGATATCAAAATCAGGCAAAGACACATCAAAAAAAGAAAACTACAGGCCTATATCCCTGATGAACATTGAGGCAAATATCATCAATGAAATACTAGCAAACCACATTCAACAGTATATTAAAAAGATCATTCTTCATGACCAAGTGGAATGTATTCCAGGTATGCATACACAAATCAATCAATGTAATACATCGTATCAACAGAATAAAGGACAAAAGCCATATCACCATTTCAATTGATACTGAAAAAGCATTTGATAAGTTTAACATCCCTTCATGATAAAAACTCTAAAAAAACTGAGTATACAAGGAACAGACCTCAATATAATAAAAGCCATATATGACAACTCACAGCTAGTAACATACTGAATGGGGGAAAACTGAAAGCCTTTTCTTTAAGATCTGGAACAAGACAAGGATGACTACTTTCACTACAGTTATGCAACACAATACTGCAAGTCCTAGCTAGAGCAATCTGACAGGAGAAGGAAATAAAGGGCATCAAAATTGGAAAAGAAGAAGTCAAATTATCCTTGTTTGCACATCATGTGGTCTGATATTTGGAAAACCTAAAGACTCCACCAAAAAACTATTAGAACTGAAGAACAAATTCAGTAAAGTTGCAGGATACAAAATCAACATGCAAAAATCAATAGCATTTCTATGTGCTAACAGCAAATAATCTGAAAAAGAAATCAAGAAACGAATCCCATTTTCATTAGCTACAAATAAAATAAAATACCTAGGAATAGACTTAACTGAAGAAGTGAAAGATCTCTCCAATAAAAACTATAAAGCACTGATGCAAAACATTGAAGAGGACACAAAAAATGGAAAAGGCATTCCATGTTCATGGACTGGAAGAATCAATGTTTATTTTTATTTTCTGAGATGGAGTTTTGCTCCTGTTGCCCAGGCTGGAGTGCAATGGTGCAATCTCAGCTCACCACAACCTCTGCCTCCTGGGTTCAAGCGATTCTCCTGCCTCAGCTTTCCTGAGTAGCTGGGATTACAGGCATATGCCACCACGCCTGGCTAATTTTGTATTTTTAGTAGAGGCGGGGTTTCTCCATGTTGATCAGGCTGGTCTTGAACTCCTGATCTCAAGTGATCCACCTGACTCGGCCTCCCAAAGTGCTGGGATTACAGGAGTGAGCCACCGTGCCCAGCCGGAAGAATCAATTTTGTTAAAATATCCATCCTACCCAAAGCAATCTACAAATTCAATGCAATTGCTATCAAAACACCAATGACATTCTTCACAGAAATAGAAAAACAATCCTAAAATGTATATGGAATCACAAAAAACCCAGAATAGATAAAGCTACCCTGAACAAAAAGAACAAAACTAGAGGAATCACATTATCTGACTTCAAATTATACTACAGAGCTAGAGTAATCAAAACAGCACGGTAGTGGCATAAAAACAGACACACGGACCAATGAAACAGAATAGAGAACCCAGAAACAAATCCATATATCTACAGTGAAGTTATTTCTAACAAAGTTACCAAGAACACATACAGGGCAAAGGAGAGTCTCTTCAATAAATGGTGCTGGGGAAACTAGATATCCTTATGCAGAAGAATGAAACTGGACCCTATCTCTCACCACATATAAAAATCCAATCAAAAAGGATTAAAGATGTAAATCTATGACCTCAAACTATGAAAACTATAAAAGAAAACATTGGGGAAACTCTCTAAGATATTGGACTGGCAAAGATTTTTTAAGTAATACCCCACAAGCACAGGCAACCAAAGTAAAAATGCATAAATGGGATCATATCAAGTTAAAAAGCTTCTGCACAGCAAAGGAAACAATAAACAAAGTGAAGAGACCATCCAAGAATGGGAGAAAATATTTTCAAACTATTCATCTGACAAAGGATTAGTAACCAAAACATATAAGGATCTCAAACAACTCTATAGGAAAAATATCTAATAATCCAACTTAAAAATGAGCAAAAGATCTGAATAGTCATTTCTCAAAAGAAGACATACAAATGGCAAACAGGTATATCAAAAGGTGCTCAACATCATTCGTCATCAGATGAAGGCAAATCAAAACTCCTACGAGATATCATCCCACCCCAGATAAACTGGCTTTTATCCAGAAGACAGGCAATAAGGAATCCTGGCGAGGATGTAGCAAAAGAGAACCCTTGTACACTGTTGGTGGGAACGTAAACTAGTATAACCACTGTGGGAAATAATGTGGAGGTTCTTCCAAAAACTAAAAATATAATAGAGCTGTCATATGCTCCAGCACTCCCACTGTTAGGCATATACCCAAAAGAAAGGAAATCGGTATATTAAAGAGCTATCTACTTTTCCATGTTTATTGCAGCACTATTCAAAATAGCCAAGATCTGCAAGCGACCTAAGTGTCCATCAACAGACGAATGGAGAAAGAAAATGTGGTGCACACGTGTATGTGGAGTACTATTCAGCCACCATGTCATTTGCAAAGAACTGGAGGTCATCATGTGAAGTGAAATAAGCCCCAGGCCCAGAGAGACAAACTTCGCATGTTCTCACTTATTTGTGGCAGCCAAAAATTAAAACAATGGACCTCATGGGGAGAGACAATAGAATGACGATTACCAGAGGCTGAGAAGGGTAGTGGGGAGTGGGGGAGTGCGGATGGTTAATGGGTACAAAAATATAGTTAGAATGAATAAGATCTAGTAGATAGCACAGCAGGGTGAGTACAGCCAACAATAATTTATTGTACATTTAAAAATAACTGAAAGAGCATAATGGGATTGTTTGTAGCACAAAGAAAGGATAAATGCTTGTTGTGATAGATAACCCATTTACCCTGATGTGATTATGACATATTGTAGGCCTGTGTCAAAATATCCCATGTACCCCATAAATATATACATACATATCTACTACGTACCCAAACAAAAGTTAAAAATTAAAAACAAAGCAAGGAGTGGGGGTGCTGGCCAGAGAGAGAAAACCAAGGTAGAGGGGGAGATTCTCAGCCTGAGGAAGGACCTGCCAAAAGGAGTAATGCTGGAGGGGGAGCAGTGGCACCCCAAGAGCAGGCAAAACAGATTTTAGATATGCGGTGTGGGGAGTGAGAGCCCACTGGGGTCAAGGAACCAAAAGAAAAGAAGGAAGGTCAAGGAACAGCTGGCCCAACAGCCTGTTTTAGGTCTGGGTTGGGGAGGGGAGATGGGCAGAGCAAGAACTGGAGGGCGGCATGAGCATGGGGCAGGAGTGACTGTGGGAGAACTTGGGGTAGGGTGAGGACAGGAGGGGAGGGTGCTCTGGGGGAGGGTGGGGCTTGGGAAAGATTCTCAGCACTGTCATATGCTCCAGCACTCCCACTTTCCCACTGAAAGATGAGAACTTGCTGAGGGCCCCAGGCAGCTGGGCAAGAGATAGGAGCAGCACAAGGTCCCAAGGTGGAGAGGGGCGGAGGGACCAGGGAGGGATGGTCCAGCACCTGTGGGCTGGAGGGTGGGGTCCTCAAGAGGGTGAGGCTGAGGATGAAGGAGTGGGGAAGGGGCCACAATGAGGCAGGGCCCAGAGCAGGCACCTGCACTGGAGGGGAGGGGGCATCTGCGCTGCCCTGCGCCCTGCCTAAGGCCCAACTGCCATTAGCATCAGGGCTCTCCTTAGGGGTCTGGAGGGGAGTGGGATGGAGGGAAGACCCCCCCGGACAAAAGGCAGCACCAGAAAGTTAGAGTCAGGGACATTTGGGAATGGGGAGGCATAGGGGCAGCACGGAGTGAAGGCTGCTTGCAGGAAAGGCCCATAAAGGAGGCAGGAGGGACCTTCAGTGGCGGGGGCGGGGGATGAAGGCAGAGGACACTCTAGAAATGGATCAGAGAACAGCACACAGGAAGGGGTAGCAGGGAGCTGGGAGAGCAAAAGGACCCAGGGCGCCGTAAGATGGGCAGGGAGGAGGTGAGAGGGAATCTGGTGTCCTTAGATCATTGGTCATTAGTAGGGGTGGGATGCGAGAGAGGAGAGGACCCCCGGAGCCGGAGGCGAGGGGAGAATGAGCTGGGGATGACAGAAGTCGCAGGAAGAATCCTCTGCCCGGAGCCTGCAGACTCCAACCCCTCAGCTTGAGAGTCAGGACCCCCCACAGTCCTCACAGTAGCAAGAAGCACCACCTCCGGGTCCCAAGAAAGGAGGGCCCCAACTCCAGGAGCTGCGGCCCAGGAGCTGAGAACACATCGGCTCCGGGAGAGGACAGGACTTCAGGGACCTGAGATCCGCCCCCAGCACCGGGGGAAGTGGCTGCCTCAGCGGCCGCGCTGGAACGGCCTTCCAATGCCATTCACAGGAGCAGCCCGGGAACCCAGGGGCCTCAGAAGGACTGGTTTGTCCGAAAAGTGAGAGGAGACGGAGGAGAGGCGAGGAGAGCAAGTGCAGGAGGAGACCAGAAAATGCGGGTGATGCGCGATCCCGAGGAGGACTGAAAGGAGACGGGAGGTCGGGCGCGGTGGCTCACGCCTGTAATCCCAGCACTTTGGGAGGCCGAGGCGGGCGGATCACGAGGTCAGGAGATCGAGACCATCCTGACTAACACGGTGAAACCCCATCTCTACTAAAAACACAAAAAATTAGCCGGGCGTGGTGGCGGGCGCCTGTAGTCCCAGCTACTAGGGAGGCTGAGGCAGGAGAATGGCGTGAACCCGGGAGGCGGAGCTTGCAGTGAGCCAATATCGCGCCACTGCACTACAGCCTAGGCGACAGAGACTCCGTCTCAGAAAGAAAAAAAAAAAAAAAAAAAAAAGAGACGGGAGATGGGAAAGCAGGGCTGAGGTGTGGCGGGAACAGGCGGCGTCCAGCTCCCTGCACTCCAGACAGCACACCTGAGCCCCGCCCTGACCGCACAGCGCTCGCGGCAACCCACCCGGACCCCCGGAAACGCCCCGCCGCTCCCGCTCCGCCGGGGACCGCCAGGAACCCCACTCACCAGCGGCGGCTGCCGGGGGTGCAAAAGGGAAGGCGACGGCCAGAAACAGCAGGACCCGGCCCAGCCCCATGGCCCCTACGTCGCCACCTTCTCAGCTGCTCAGCAGTGGCCAACTGAATGAAACCGGTGAGAAGACCCCGTCGAAATTTAGTCACCTGCGCCCCGCTCAGCGACCGCTTATCCAGTGAAAACTGAGGCCCGGAACTTGGCCAATCATGAGTGGAGAGGGCGGGGCCACGTTCAGAAGAGAAAATTCTAGCGGCCTGGAGACCTGGGGAAATTTAGAAGGCGGGACCTGGCGGCCAGAAAAGGGGGAGCGTGCGCGAGCGCAGCCAAAATCAAGGACCAGCCCCGAGTAGCTGAGAGTACAGCTCCAAACTTATGAGCACGACCTGGACCCTGTCGCCCTCCCTGCATCGCGACCACCCCATCCCCGCATTCCCACCCCCAAGGAGCGCGGGCTTCACCAAGCCCCTTTCGGCGGTCCTCCCATCAGGCCGGCTCTCACTGGCTTGTTCCTTCCGGGACAGACAACGCGTGGTTTTTCTGCCAATACACTCCCTCAACCGCGCACAGCGTTACTGCAATGAGACCAGTGACCAGATTTGCAGACCTGTTTCCAGATCTCAGCCGCCTCTGCCTTTCAGAAGCACTTGCCCCAGTAGAAACGCTCAGATCACAAATTCTCTTAGACGTTTCAGCTATATAATCTCCTTCTCCTCCCTTCGACTCAAAGCCAGGTCCCCCCTTTCACCCCCTTATATCCTCTAAGTGTCTGAGGTCTCCCAGGGCCCCCTCTCTATTCAGTTCCTGGGTAATCACAGGGCCAACGAGGCGGCTCCCCATGGTTCATTACAACACCAAGCTCTCTCCAGACTCCCTTTTCCAGCCTGTTTTAGGACATCTGTACCTCTGGGACCATAGTCCCCTTCAATGTGACAGATCTACAAGGACTCTCTACACGTCTCCCACCACATCATCCTCTCTTCCTCCTCAGTTTCTCTTAAGAACTTCACCATCCTTGGTCCCTTCTGATTTCCTCTTTCCCCTTCATCTCCGGGAGTCAAAGTCAGCTCCTTCAACGCTATTTCAATCCCACAGCCATAGTCTTAGTCTAGGCTTTCCCCTCCCTTCAGTCTGGATTACTGCACAGGCTTCCTAAACACTGTGCCTGCCTCAGTTACAACCAGAGTGCTCCAAGCCACCCACAGCGCCCCATCTGCTGAATGTCACACATGGTAGATGCTTCTACTCTACCATGGAAACCATAGCTCCCACAATCTATTGTCTGGCACCACCCCCATTTCTCTGGTGACATTTCCCCAGGGTTGCAGTAAACGTGGGCTCTGGGATCTCCTCACCCTATCCCACCAGGATGCCACTGCCTAAGCAGTCTCCCTCTTCCAGGTTACTGTCACCTCTGCCTTGGAACCCATCAGACCACAGCATATCCTCAAAATCTTCCCAATTAGGCTGGTCTGAGTGCAGTGGTGTTTACAACTAATTGATCACAACCAGTTATAGATGTTTTTGTTTCATCTTCACTCCCACTGTTTCACTTGACTAGCCTTTAAAAAAAAAAAAAAGGAAAAAGGGTCCGGGCACGGTGGCTCACGCCTGTAATCCCAGCACTTTGGGAGGTCGAGGTGGGCAGATCACGAGGTCAGGAGATGGAGAGCATCCTGCTAACACAGTGAAACCCCGTCTCTACTAAAAATACAAAAAACTTAGCTGGGCGTGGTGGCGGGTAC
This sequence comes from Homo sapiens, assembly GCF_000001405.40. Taxonomy (NCBI): domain Eukaryota; kingdom Metazoa; phylum Chordata; class Mammalia; order Primates; family Hominidae; genus Homo; species Homo sapiens. The sequence goes on along the minus strand of NT_167247.2, from coordinate 2,838,466 downwards.
CTGTAGTCCCAGCTGCTCAGAAGGCTGAGGCAGGAGAATGGGGTCAACCCGGGAGGCGGAGCTTGCAGTGAGCTGAGATTGCGCCACTGCACTCCAGCCTGGGCAACAGAGCAAGGCTCCGCCTCAAAAAAAAAAAAAAAGAAAAAAAGGAAGAAAATCTTCCCAAGTAGATAGTGGTGACGGTGGCACAACCTTGTGATTATGCTAGAAGCCACTGATCTGTACACTTTAAAACGATAAATTATGTGTGGCATATGAATTCTCAATTCTCAATAATAAGAATTCTGTCTGGAAAGCCTCTACTAAGAGAATTGGCTTGTCCCCAGCGCACATTCTTAGTCATTGGGACATCTAGGCAGTGGTCTTCAAACCTAGCCACTGCGTAGAACCACCTGGAGAGTTTTTAATATCCATGTTCCCAGGCCACAGCCACAACCAGTTAAATCAGTAAACCTAGGTTGGACCTAAACCTTAGTATCTTTTAAAGTTCCCTGCGTGATTCCGATGTGTAGTCAAGTTTTAGAACTACTGATCTAGCCCATGGTTTGAACCTTCCTGATGGTACCGACTGTGCCCTGTCTTGAATCTTATTTTTTTCATTTATTTTATTTTATTTTTTTAAGAGAGGAGTCTTGCTGTGTCACTCAGTTGGAATGCAGTGGCGTGATTATAGCTCACTGCAGCCTCAAATGCCTGGGCTCAAGCAGTCCTCCCACCACAGCCTCTTGAGTAGCTGGGACTACAGGCGAGGCGAGTGCCACACACCCAGCCATCACCTACCATCTTCTACCCTCCTCTCCCATTAGACTATGAACCCTCCAGGATCAGGAACTGTGTCCATTTCTTTTTTGTTGGCCTCACAACCTTTTTTTTTAAGTTCAACTATCCCTGTCATTACTAACTATTCCCCTATCATCCCTAGCCTACACTTTTCTGTGGATGAAAATGTAATGTATTCGAGAACTTTAACAATTTCTTAGTCTTCCCATACACATTCACTGATAATTTATTTTGATCCTCATAATTTATTAAGCACAGCAGGGACTGGGGTCCTGTCCCCACCTTAGAGAGATTATTTTCACTGCTAAAGATCATAAGCATAGTTTGAGACAGAGAGGGAGATGGACCCAGCTCTCCTGACACAGGTCCCAAGCCCTTCCCTCCACGGTGTCTACCCTCCCTCCAGGACTTCCTCCGTGTGCCAGCTCCAGCAAAGGGTCTCATTCAGCTCGCCTCCAAAAAAGACTTTTAATAGTTCAATAATAATAATGAATATTTAAGGTTTGTTCTAAGGCATTTAGAAGCGGTTTCAGGGAGACATGAAGCCAGTCCTCCCCTGGGCTAGGGGAGGCCAAGAAGGTCTTGAGCTCCAGGGGAGTTGCTTCTCAGCGCCGAGGCCTGGGTCCCCTCCCCCACCAAGCCTCCCAGGTCTTCTGTTCAAAGCCCTCCCCCTCCACCCCACCTCCAGCCCCCTCTGCTCTGCCCCATCAACTATGTTTTCTCCCTCAGCACTTGCCTTAGATCCCTGGACTCACGAGCACAGAGGCGACTTCCTCCTCGCAGACTTTAGGCGCCACTGCAGGGTCCGGAAAAGAAAGAGAAACGGCCCAGCGCGGGCGCTCACAAAATTCAGGGCGGGGCTGCCCTCGGCGCCCGAAAGCTTTTTGTTTTTTGTTTTTTTTTGAAACGGAGTTTCGCTCTTGTTGCCCAGGCTGGAGTGCAGTGGCGCGATCTCGGCTCACAGCAACCTCCGCCTCCCGGGTTCAAGTGAGTCTCCTGCCTCAGCCTCCCGACTAGCTGGGATTACAGGCATGCGCCACCCCCGGCTAATTTTGTATTTTTAGTAGAGGCGGGGTTTCTCTATGTTGGTCAGGCTGGTCTGGAAATCCCGACCTCAGGTGATCCGCCCGCCTCGGCCTCCCAAAGTGCTGGAATTACAGGCTTGAGCCACCGCGCACGGCTTTGCCAGCAAGCGTTTTGAATTTTGTGGCCCGGAATTCACTGCGAGGACTGGGATCACCCATCACCCTTCCCTGGTCTCCGAAAAATGAAACGTGTTTACTGATACAGAAACGGAATAACGGCACTTTGGGCTGGGGAGGGCCGAGCTGCCTCAGGCTTCTGGTCTCCAGCTGCGCGGCACTCACACCTGCCGCTGTGAAAATGCAGACCCGCGGGGCAGGAATTCCGAGTCCAGGCTGGAGCGCGATCTGGAATCTGACTCGCTGGAAACAGCACCGCGGTGGATTCGGATCTGAGTGAGTAGGGAACTGCGCCTCAGCCCCTCCCGCAGGCCGCCCACAGATTCCAGGGTCCGAAAACGCTTCACCCCTGGAAGGCAGCGCCCGCCTCTGGGCGGTTCTGATGGAAACGGACTCCACCGCCCGCAGGAAAACCCACAACTAAGGGGCCAGGAAAAAGCCTCTCAGGGTCCCGCCGCTTCAGTGAGGATCCTAATTTACACCCCGAGTGTGGCCCCGTCAAAGACGGGAGTGACCACTGAAATGATAAAAGACCTGCGCGGCCCAGGGCGCTGGGGCGCATAGAATGCTGTGACAGCGCCGCCTCGCGTCCCTTCTCTGACCTGCCCCAGGCGGACGCGGTGAAGTGTGTTGGCCTGGGGGCTGGAATACACCGGGGATCAAGTGCAGAGAGTGGTGAAAGGAGGGAAGGATAGGGGAACGTGTTAAGAAAGGAGGGAAGAGATAGGAAGAAAAGGGGAGAGAAAAAGTAAAGGAGAGATAAAATTTAAAAGACGTAGTTTTATTATTTATTTTTGACCTTTATCTAGTTTTACTTATGAACATTTTTACTATAGCTTTCTCTCTTTCTGAATCTGTAAATATACTGCTATTATTGTTATTTCAGAGCCTGTGAGGGTAAGTTGCAGACAGCATGACCCTCTACCTCCAGATGAGTCAGGGTGTGTCTCCTGGGCACAAGAACAGGGTTTTTGTTTTGTTTTGTTTCACATAAGCAAAGTACAAATCTCAAAGACGATAATATTTTTAAATCATCATATTGGGACATACTTTGCATGCAATAAACTGCATCTATTTAAAGTGTTCAACTTGTTGAATTTTAGCTGTTGTACACACCCACATCTCCACTACCACAGTGAAGATAAAGAACATTTCAATTGTCTCCCAAAGAAGAGTTATATTATAAAATTCTATACAGTCATTAAAAAGAGTAAGATCGCTTTTAAGTATTGCTATGAAAAGAAGTGCCCAGCATACTTTTAACCTTTTTTAAAAGGTTAAGGAGGCTGGGCCCAGTGGCTCACGCCTGTAATCCCAGAACTTTGGAAGGCCAAGGTGGGCAGATCACCTGAGGTCAGGAGTTCGAGATCAGCCTGGTCAATATGGTGAAACCCTGTCTCCACTGAAAATACAAAAATTAGCCAGGCATGGTGGCCGGCGCCTGTAGTCCCAGCTACTCGGGAGGCTGAGGCAGGAGGATTGCTTGAACCCGGGAGGTGGAGGTTGCAGTGAGCTGAGATCGTGCCACTGCACTCCAGCCTGGGTGAAAATGCCGCTAATATTACTTACATAATATTAATATATATTTTAAGTAGGGGAAAACCTGGAAGATTCCTCACCAAAGTTTTGACAGTGACTTCAGAGACTGGGATAACTTTGTGACTTTCATTTTCTCTGAAATGTTGGAATTTTATCTTTTAGTATAAACTTGGATTTGGGTGAGTTGCAGTGGTTCATGCCTATAATCTCAGCTCTTTGGGAATTGGAGGCAGGAGGATCGCTTGAGCCAGGGAGTTCCAGGCTGCAGTGAGCTATGATTGTGCCATTGCAATCCAGCCTGGGTGACAGGAGGAGACCCTGTCCCCAAAACAAAAATAAATAAAATTTTAAAATAATAAAAATTGTGAACTTGGATTTATGCGGACGTTAAGGAAGAGAATATTTCAATTTGAAAATACGAAGCTAAGCCCCACACCAAAATGGTTACAGAGTTTTAAAAACCAAAACGTTCTTTAAAACCCAGCACCAGAAACTCTTTCAAGAGGATCCTTCATATTTTCATGTCATTGAATCTTTCTTAAAGTGCATTTGAAAGAGATGTTTTCAGTGGAATAGAGAGATATGTAACAATATTTACAAAAGCGGTTGGCTGTAATAAAAAGGAAAACGCAAATGAGTGGGGACACAGGGGACCCTGTTCCATTTATTCTCAAAGCACGTTTGAAAACTGCGTTGCCATAGCGTCCTTGGGTGGAGACAAAGTCGAGGCAGATCTTGTTCCTGGAGTATTGATTTGATTTTGGAAACGGTCCAAGGCTTTCAGAAATCAGGCTGACTTAGATCTAAAGTCTCAAGAATGTTCGTTCTAGCAGTGAGCCTGTGAGAATCTAGCCCATCTGGGCGATGCTCTCTCTGCTTTCACCTAGTGGCAGTGGTTGGAAGGACAGGGCACAGTGTTACTGCATGGGTGGGGCTGAAGCCAAGGTGAAACCGCCTTTGCAAAATTATAAGTAAGGAAATGATGACAGTGAAAGACATCAAACCTAACTCACCCTATCTTGTTTCTAACCGCTAACCTGCCCTTGTTCATTTCTGGGCATAGGCCGTACTAGCCTTGGGAAGGAATTTATAGTTTAAAGGGAAAGTGTTCTTTTAAAACGAATGAAACGCCGCCAGCCATTAAGTTAGGATGAGAGGGGCTGGAATTCTGAATATTACCAGCCATTATTCCGGAGGTCATAAGATTTGCAACTTCCCCAGTTACTCTTGAAGGTAACATCACTATTGTGAACCTCAGAGCGGCCTTTTGAGATGTCTTTTGCATTTCTTTTTTCTTTTTCTTCCTTTTTTTTTTTTTTTTTGAGACGGAGTCTCGCTCTGTCGCCCAGGCTGGAGTGCAGTGGCGCGATCTCGGCTCACTGCAAGCTCTGCCTCCCGGGTTCACGCCATTCTCCTTCCTCAGCCTACTGAGTAGCTGGGACTACAGGCTCCCGCCACCATACCCGGCTAATTTTTTTGTATTTTTAGTAGAGACGGGGTTTCACCGTGTTAGCAAGGATGGTCTCGATCTCCTGACCTCGTGATCCGCCCGCCTCGGGCTCCCAAAGTGCTGGGATTACAGGCGTGAGCCACCACGCCAGGCCAGGTTTTTGCATTTCTAACAACTGGAGGACCCCATCTGGACCTGCCAACCAGTCCTGTGGCCCCCCACTCAGGAACTGACTCAGCCTAAGAGAACAGCCTCCACTCACTATGATTTCATACCGGAGCCAACCAATCAGCACTCCTGATTCACCGGCCCCCCCATCCACCAAATTATCCTTAAAAACTGATTAGAGTTTTCGGGGAGACTGATTTGAGTAATAAAACTCTGGTCTCCCGCACGGCCGGCTCTGCATGAATTACTCTTTCTCTATTGTAATTCCCCTGCCTTGATAAATCGGCTTTGTCTAGGCAGTCAGCAAGGTGAACACACTGGGTGGTTACAAAGGGAGTCCAGGCCAGTGTGCAGGATGTGCTTTGCTGTAGTGGGGTCCGGGTAGCGGAGGAAAGTCAAGGACACTCAGGGAATAAATGGCAGAGGAAGAAGGAGCACGAGGGAGGACCCAAAGCCTCCAGACCTCTCCTTCCTTCTCTCCCTGTTAGGGTTGGAGGGAACCAGCGTGGTCCCAGGAGGGATGGCTGGTGGGGTGCAGAAAACGCCCTGGTTGCAAAGGGGCGTCACGCGCCCCACACAAGGGTCCTGGCTGTCAGCTGCTACTCATGAGTTCAAACTAGGAGGAGACTCACACGTGTCCTTTGCAAAGTAGACTCCTTATCTCCCACTCTGGCTGGTTTCCCAAATCCATCCTGATAAAGCAGAAAAACCAAGAGCCAAATTCTGCGTGGGACCTTTCTGACAGCTGGAAGGTCCTCCCCCTCCCCATTCCTCACATGTGCCCTTCTTGCCCTGCCCCCTCCACTTTGTCTCCACTTCCTCATCCTTTTCCCTCTCTGGACCCCGCTCCTGAGTATCTCCCGCCTTCTTCAGAGGACTTCTCCTCATGAAGTACAGACTCCTCCACCTCCAGGAAAAAGAGACAAAGACCACTGAGAGGGACCTGAGAAATGCCTGTGACCCCACCCCTGAGACCAGCCTCTCCCTCAGTGCTGGCTCTGGCTGTGTGTGTGTATGTATTTTGTTTTGTTTTGTTTGTTTGTTTTTGAGACAGGGTCTCACTAAGCTAGAGCAGTGTCCCGATCACAGCTCATTGCAGGCTCCAACTCCTGGATTCAGGCAATCCTCCCACCTCAGCTTCTCGAGTAGCTGGGACTACAGAGTGGAGCCACCACACCCAGTGTGTGTGTGTGTGTGTGTGTGTGTGTGTATTTTTTTCTTTTCTTTTCTTTTTTTTTTTTTTTTTTGTAGAGACTGGGTCTTGCTTTGTTACTCATGCTGGTCTTGAACTTCTGGCTTCAAGCAATTCTCATGCCTCAGCCTCCCAAAGTGCTGAGATTACGGGCATAAACCACAACGCCTGGCCCCTGTGTGTGTACATACAAAGTCAAAGTGCTAAACCTGGCACCTAGGAAACATCCCCACCTTGGCATTGCTTGCAACAGTCGGTATTTTGTGCACCTGTGCTTTTATTTCGGGAGCTGGGACAATTATATTCATCAGAACAGCACGGTGTCAAGGCCCTCACCCCCAGAAAGCTTAAGGGACACTGTTTTATGAAGGAGAGTGAGATTGGAGGAGCCCCTGACTCCAAGTCTCCTGATCCTTCTTACACAAAGCGATGCTGAAAAAAAGTGTAGGACACTCCATTTCCTCCTGGGACCAGACAGGGAAGCCAGAGCCACTGTGGATGTCAAATTCCAGCAAGGAAATACCAGTATAGCAAAATCTCCATGTCACATTTTAAAGCTCACACAATGGCTCAAAGAGAACCAATATCAAAAAATCGAATTCCTAGCTCAGGTGAGATCACCAAATTTGCCTGTGAGGTTTTGTGGAATCTGCAGGTAGAAAGGACATCTTTATTTAGAGCTGCAGCCCAATTGCTCCTGCATCTTGGGGCCCCTTGAAAGGACCCTCTCCCTTCAACAGTGCATAGTGAAGCCATTTCTGGGGAGAAACGTAGACTGTCCTTGGACTCCTGAGGTTTTTACACTTACTTGCTGACTCTGTGGACTTTGACTTCATCATTAAACATCTTACAACGATGTAATTTGCTTTGACTGTAAGTGTAGAACAGGACACTGATCCTGAATCAGGAAACAAGGGACTGGTGACCTGAACTGCCACCCCCCTCCCTGGTGCTCAGATGCAATGAAATTGTGAGGCAACAAATCTATGGCTAGGTAAAGGGTCAACTCCATTTCAGCAAATGTTTCAGATGTTCCTTCCCGCCTAGTAATGTTCCAGCTTTACCCCAGCCTTAATCTTTTAAAATGTATATTTTCCTTGGTGTTGATTTTAAAGTAATTCGTATGTATTTATTACACTGGGTTTGTTGCAGTAAGCCACCTCGAATGTTGCTGTAGAATTAAAGTAAGCAAATAAATGTGTGGTTCTCCACGGAGTTACTAACTCTTAAAAAAAAAAAGTCCAAATGTCCATTCCCAACTCAGCTTCAAGGAAAGTCTCCTCTAGACTCCACAGGGTAGAAATTCCTGTTGATGGCACCTTCAGAAGGTAAGAAAGGAACTCTTCCTCCACCATGCCTGACCCATCTTTGGGTTTTAGGCATTGGCCGACTGATAAAGGCAACTCTGAGAGTACAATCCATGTATAGATGACCGATAGTCATATAATAGGAATCTCACCACACCTGAGAGAGTGGGATAGATTCCCTCATTTTCATAGTTTGGGCATCTGAGTCCCTGAGAGCCTGAATGCCTGACATGGATTCTCCAAGAATGTTGACCTTGAGACTCTAAAGGGCCCCGGGTCTCCTGTGAAGCCCCCTGTGCATGCACCACACCCGCAGAGGCTCCACAACGGCGGGAAGAGCACCCAGGGTCAGAGCCCAGGCGAGTTCACACTCGGGGACCATCCACATCCAGGGCGTGCAGAGGAGGGGCCGAGGTGAGAGCCCAACCCCTGCCTAGGCTGTGGTGACTGGTGGCTGCACGGGGGTCCCAGCGCTCCTGGAGCTATCATTCTTTATCTCCTGAAGACCCCGGACCTGCATATACCAAAACTCTGCATTTCTGGTGGAGCAGTCTTCTCTTTTGAGATGTAAACACTACTTCTCGAATCTTAAAGCCAGCCATTGCCACTCCTAAGGGATAAGCCTCTAACTCCACTGAAATTAGCCTCAGAATTTCAGCTGAGCATTTGGAGCCACAGGCAGGAAGTCGGTGGGATTTGTACCTGGCTGATCTGGAAGGTGGTCCTGAAAGGTAGTGTGTGACTAGGTGGGCTCTATCCTGATGAGAGGAGAACGAGACAGATGGGAAGGTTCCGAAAGTGAATTTCAGTGGGCCCTGTGCCCAGCACTAGGATTTGGAAAATCTTTTCCCAGCCACTTTTGGCCTGTGGGTTTTCATTCTGCTTTCCTGTCTGCCAAGCCACTGCAGGCAATCCCTTCATTTGGTAAACATTTATCAAATACCTACTGTGCGCGGGGCGTTGTTTTAAGAGGAGCTGGGACTGAGGTAAGAGGAAATAAACCCTCCTTGCCCTCAAGGCATGCCCAGTCTTGCTCAGGCAGAGATCAGTAAGGAAATTATAACACAAATTGAGAGAGAAAAAAGGAAGAAACTGGTCAGGCGGGCAGTTATGGTGGGTCCTCAGTTGAATTATTTCAAACAAAAGAACGGCCTGCAGGCACAGAGAAGGGAACTTGCACAGGGGGGCTTGCCTAAGACATGCCCACAGCTGCACAAATAAGAAAGGCTGCACAGGAGACTTGTCCAGACATGCCCGCAATGGAAAATTCTGTCCCCCGATACATGGGCAGTCAGGGAAACAAAGCAATATGGAGTAACTCAAGCTAAGCGCCTGCATGGGCACTAGGAGGATGGGGTGGAGCTACCGGAAATTTGTGCCTTATGCAAATGAGACACCCAGCCCTCATCAGTTTCTTGTAAAAGCCTTTACATTCAGCTGTAAAAATGGCAACCATCTTCCAAGCCCCCTCTCCGTGGGGGAGAGCTTTCTTCTTTTGCTTATTAAACTTTTGCTCCAACCTCACCCTTTGTATCCACGCTCCTTAATTCTCTTGGTGGTGAGACAAAGAACTCCAGGTAACACCTCACAAGGAGAGACTGAGAGGCTGCTACGTTGTGGTGCATTGGCAAGACTAACAAACTGGCTAGTGGGACATGCACACTTGCTTGGTAGACATATATGTAGATCTTCAGCTCTGACTAATGAAGGAATACCAAAAATCTCATAAAAGAAAAAATATTATTTGAGCTTTGTTTTGTGGTGTAAGTGGGAGCCCCACAGGCACCCAGGATAGGAGAGCTTTGCTCAGAATCCAGGAAGTGAACATCTTTCCCTGGGCCAGGCCAAGAATGAGACTAAGCTGATTGAGGAGCCTGGTGCCTCCTGGCAAGAAAGGGTGTCTGACACCTGACTATCCAGAAGTCACAGCTACTCAATATTGAGACTTGAAACAGAGAGAGAGAGAGAGAGAGAGAGAGAGAGAGATCTGATTTGAAAAGCAGAATTCTGCTGGGGGCTTGTTAAATGCAGAGTTTCTGATACAGTAGGTCCAGGCCAGGCCCTGAAGATTGCATATCTAAGTTCCCAGGTGATGCCAATGCTGCTTCCCCCAGGACCACACTTTGAGAACCACCACCCTAAGGCAATCTGTGTTGGTTTCTAATATCAGAAGAGGGCTGGGAGTGGGCTGGGAGGCAGAGGTGTAGGATCAGTGAGACCACACCTGACCCACCCTGGACAGCTCCCCACCCCAATCTTGCAGCATTTTATTTCCTGGGAGTCCTGGGAATGGAAGACACCCAGGAAGGGACCAAATGTGGGGTCACAGGGTGATCCAGAGGCTCGGCTTCATACAGCACCTGGGGCTCCCGCCACTCCACAACTGGCCCCCACACCCTCAGTCTTCCCACCCCTCACGACACTGACCTCCAGACCTTCCTCGACTAATCTCAGCAGGTTGGGCCTGGGATGTGACACTAGGAGCTCTGAGTGTACCTTCTGATCCAAAGATAGGGTGACCGCGTATGACAAGTACTCAGATGGGCCATTAATAGGACCTTGAACATTTGGCAAATGGCTTCAGTCACGTGTGCTTGAGAATTCCAGTGTTTTCTAGATATGGCATCCATGAGCCCACACAAACACTAGAGGGCGTCGTGAGCATACTGAAACCCATAACTGCTGCACTGGATCCCCTAGAATCCCTTTCCCACTTAGACCAAGATTTGAACAAAATTTCCTTCACCAAACAAACTGCATTTAATTAATCATGCTGTTATTTTACCTTGTAATGGAAAAAAGATAGATGTAAAGAAAGATCATGCAATTAAAAAGAAAACAACGTACTGAATTAAAATGGCGGTAAACCTCCTTGTTAAAGGAATAATATAATATTTAGAAAATTTTTAAAATTTATTTTAATAAAGGTAAAAAAATTCTATTAGTTTTTAAAAGGTTTTTCATTTTGAATTTTTTTGGGGTTTATTTGGTTGCCCTAGGAATTATCTTTTATTTCTTGATATAGTTCAAAATTCAAAATTCAAAATGTTCAAAAGGTAAAATGTCTCTTTCTTACCCTGTCTCATCCCCAACAGGCAACCAGGGATATCTTCTTGCTTATTCTTCCAAATATATTTTATGCATATGCAAGCAAATATAAATGTGTATATATATCTCTTTGTCCCTTTTCACACAAATTTTAGCAGACTCTATATGTTATTCTACACCTTGCTTTATTTCTTCTTAACAATGTATCATGGAGACCATCCCATGAGGGAATATCAAGAGTTTCCTATGTCTTTCTTCTTTTGTGTTAAATGTTTGTAGACTCTGCCGTGTAGATATGCAGTGCTTGTTTGGGTTTTCTTAGGAAGGTAGGGAGGCCTCCTCATGTTACCCAGAGTGGAGTAGAGTGTATTCACAGGTGAATGCTACTGTGCCCAGCTTGCAATGCTTTTTTAACTAGTCCGCTAGTGACAGATATTTGGATTATTTTTTCTTTTATCTTTCATTTTCTTTCTTCTTTCCTTTTTGATTTTACAAACAGGGTTGCAACATATAATTCTGAATACAGTCATTTTTCAGGAATGCAGGTGTATTTTTGGACACATTTCTAGAAGTGGGACTACTGGGTGTATGCATTTTTAATTTAGACAGAAATTGCCGTACTGCCTTTCCTGAAAACATTTCCAGTTTGCAGGCCCATCTGCAATATATCAGAGTACCTGTTTTGGTACCATTAGTTTTTTGATTATAGAAATATGTAGAGATATATATTTGGGAGCCATCTGTGTCTAGACGATATTTAAAATCCTGGGAGTGGAGGACACTAGAGTGATTGGGAGGCAGTAAAACCCCACAGTGCTCCAGCATCTACAGCAAAAGGAGCCAATGAAGGGGGACTGAGGCGGAGCAGCTAGTTGGGGAGGAAGATAACTTGACCTGTAAAATATCAAAGAAGATTTTAAAGGGGGGAGTTGATACAACCTCTTCAGAGAACAATTTGACATCCTATAACATCACATGGTAAAAGCACAGTAATCCCATTCCTACATCCGTATCTTGGGGAACTCACACAGGGGACCAGAGAGAGATGACCCAGGATGTTCATTGTGGCAGTGTCTGTAACAGAAACAAGCTAAAGGTCGCTGACAGGAGAAGAGATAAATTGTGGGATATTCCTCTCATAAATACTATCCAGCACTGAAAACAAATGAACTGTTTCTATGGGTGTGTGGGTTCACCTCATAGACCATATTAAACGATAAAGCAAGCCACAGAATGATACATTCAACAAAAAACAATTTTTACAAAGTCTAAAATCATGTCAAACGAAAGGATTTAAAAAACTTTGTAGCCCGGGCGCGGTGGCTCACGCCAGCACATTGGGAGGCTGAGGCGGGCGGATCACGAGGTCAGGAGACCGAGACCACCCTGGCTAACACAGTGAAACCCCGTCTCTACTAAAAATACAAAAAAATTAGCCGGTCGTGGTGGTGGGCTCCTGTAGTCCCAGCTACTTGGGAGGCTGAGGTAGGAGAATGGCGTGAACCCGGGAGGCGGAGCTTGCAGCGAGCCGAGATCGCGCCACTGCACTCCAGCCTGGACGACAGAGCGAGACTCCGTCTCAAAACAAACAACCAAAAAAAAAAAAACACTTTGTAACAATATAAAGGCATTCACCAAATTCAAGACATCCGCCTCTCCCCACTGGCAGTCCAGTACTCAGTACAGTAGTACTGTACAGTACATAGAGTACTGTACTGTATGTGTTTCAGTGGAAACACATACATAACAGAACTGTGGAGAATCAGGGCTATCTGCATATATTTCTATTATTTTCTATGTATACTACATATAGCCAATAATATTAAAATGTTACAAATTGACAAACCTGGGTAGGGGCTTCACAAAGATTTCTTTTAATTCTCTATTCTTCCAGCTAGAACTACCTCATAATAACTAGCAGCAACATGGATGGAACTGGAGGTCAGTATGTTAAGTGAAATAGACCAGGCAAAGAAAGACAAATATCACATGTTCTCACTCACATGTGAGGACTGAAAAAAAGTTGATCTTATGGAGGTGGAGAGCAGAATAATAGTTACCAGAAGCTGGGAAGGGTGTGTGGGGGATCTGGGAGATAAAACGAGGTAGCTTAATGGGTACAAAGATACAGTTAAATAGGAGGAATAAATTCTAATATTCGATAGCACAGCAGGCTGGCTGTAGTTAACAACAATGTATTGTGTATTTCACAATAGCTATAAGAGTGGATTTGAAATTCACCCAACACAAATAACTGATAAATGCTTGAGGTGATGAGTATCCTAAATATCCTGACTCAATCATTTCACATTCTACACATGCATGAAAATATTATGTGTACCCCAAAGTATGTATAAATATTATGTGCCAATAATTTTTATTAAAATACCAACAAGCTCAGTACAATAAGGAGTATTTTAAAATGATACAAAAATTATTTGTGTGATAATTTGGCAAATATTTCCTGTTCATTAACATCAATTTTTTCTCCTATAAGTATAAGGAGAATAATACCTAAATAGCATCAGAAGTGGTTGCTTTCCTGAAAGAGAATCCTTTTCCCAGTTAAAAATACAGAATCAGAATCACTAAAGTAAATAGGACTTTGGAGAACTACATAGCACTGGGTCTTGCTGCCCTGGGGCGGCCAGGCTCAGGGAGTGCTCACTTTCCAGGGAAAACTAAACTTCGGCTCCCTTGTTTTGGTAGTGTTCTTTTTTTTTTTTTTTTTTTTTTTTTGAGATGGAGTCTTGGTCTGTTGCCCAGGCTGGAGTGCAGTGGCGAGATCTTGGCTCACTGCAAGCTCTGCCTCCTGGGTTCACACCATTCTCCCGCCTCAGCCTCCGGAGCAGCTGGGACTACAGGCACCCACCACCACGCCTGGCTAATTTTTCTTTTTGTATTTTTAGTAGAGAAGGGGTTTCACCGTGTTAGCCAGGGTAGTCTCGATCTCCTGACCTCGTGATCCGCCCGCCTCGGCCTCCTAAAGTGCTGGGATTACAGGCGTGAGCCACTGCGCCTGGCCTTTGGTGGTGTTCTTATTGCAAGACCAACATTTCAAAATATCAACAGAGTCCAGCCAAAGGGTTGTATTCTCTTTTATTTCTTATAATATGCACCGCCAAGGATGGCGCAGACTCTTATGGGCTAAACTGTGTCCCTGTACACATATTTTGAGGCCAATGTTGACAAGATAGAGGGAGAAGATGGCCATCTGTAAGCCAGAGACAGGCCTCAGGAGCAGTCAGCCCTGCAATACATTCCATCGTGGACCTGTAGCCTCCAGAACTGGGAGATAATACATTTCTACTGTTTAACTTACCCAGTCTGTGCCACTTTATTATGGAAGTCTTAGCAAATTAAAACAGAGATATCACCTTTTCTACCCTGCCCTACATATGAAAATGAGATTTTTCAAGAGTATGAATTATGTAGGATTCCAAAGCATAGAACGGATAGATTGAAAATTGACAATGGCAGGTGATGTAGAGTTTGGGCAGATGTAGGCTGGCTTCCAAGCCTCCGTGGTCCCATGGTCACCACACAAAGGTGGAGATGTTCTCATTCCTTTTCATTTTCACTTGGAGCAAAACATGTGGGTCCACACTGGTATATGATCAGAAGATATATTTAACTGATTTGAGATATTGAGGTAGAAAGTCTTGCTGTGCTTTTATAGAAAGATGAATGATAATTATCATCACTAAAGGGGCTTTTAGGCAGGGTGTTGCTGGCATTATGTTTTCCTCCTACTTTTAAGGTGCATGTTCCTAAAAAAGCCCTGTCTAGGAGTAAAGGCCATCACCTAAATTTTTCTGTTTCTGCGGCCGGGCGCGGAGGCTCACGCTTGTAATCCCAGCACTTTGGGAGGCCAAGGCGGGCGGATCACGAGGTCAGGAGATCGAGACCATCCTGGCTAACATGGTGAAACCCCGTCTCCACTAAAAATACAAAAAATTAGCCGAGTGTGGTGGTGAGCGCCTGTAGTCCCAGCTACTCGGTAGGCTGAGGCAGGAGAATGGCATGAACCCAGGAGGTGGAGCTTTCAGTGAGCCGAAATCGCTCCACTGCACTCCAGCCTGGGTGACAGAGCAAGACTCTGTCTCAAAAAAAAAAAAAAAAAAATTTTCTCCACCTGTCAACTCATTGGTCCTCACTTCATTTCAGTAAGGTTACCGGAATGTCTGTGTTTATCCAGGATTCACAGATGAGTTTAAAAGTCCCTAGTGGTAGAGAGCTTCTCCCGAGGTCACACGGCAACCGAGTGTGGTGGAGCAATGACAGGCATGTGGCAACCTTGGTCCGTACTCCAGTTCTCTAGGTGCCATGAGAATTGCAGCCTTTGGTTCATTTTCTATTATTATTATTTTTTTTCTGAATGAGTGAAGGAAAATGTGTGTTGAGAACAAAGTGCCAGAGACCTAAGTCCATTCCTTAAACCTGCAGGGTTGGGGCCTGGAGAGACAGAGGCTGCCACTGATTCTCTGAATTCCAGCTTCCGTTGTCAGTCACGCAGCTGAAAGCAGGAAGAAGCTCTCTCTTCTGCACTTGGAACAACAGGGTGAAGATGACAGAGAGTCCCACATCTACCATGGAAAAGGCAATGGTCCCTAAATCATGCCAAGTTTTCTAATGACATGTGTTTTCCCGCAACATGTAACTATATGTCCTCCCTTCAAGCACCAGTTATCACAGTACAAACACAGCAACAGCATAAAGGAATGACTACTGAGCCTGAAGCTCTGATGGATGCTCTGAGTTGAGACTTTGTTTTATACTTAGGTACCTGTGAGTCATTGCAGAGTTTTGCCTGACTCCACCATGACCCAATTTGATCAAGGTCTATATGCTATGAGACCTCTCTAGTTCCTCATCAGAAATTATAATGAATACCATGTCCAGCTCCTGAGGTGCCTGATGGCAACGAGCGGCAGCTCCTCTTGGGGCAACACTTTGGGGGTGACCAAGGCCTCACAGACCTCACTACTGCTGGGCTACATGGCCCAAGGCTCCTGGGCGCAATGGATCGGTGGTCTTGGATTCGCCTCAGACATTTAATGACATTTGTTCTTGGGCTTTCACAAGTGGTCTCTGGTTGAGATGGAAGGAAAGGACGCAGGGACACAAAATCTCTGACTGCCCAGGGACCACCTCACCGTCCTCACTTCCACTCAAGACGACATGGCCGTTCCACTAAATTCCCGAGGACATGGCCAACATGAGTAACAACACAGGGAAGTGCCTTACACAGAGTTCCATGGAAGCCCGGCTAGTACCCTCTAGACCATTTACCTACACCTGTTGGGATCTCTCTAGCATGAAATGCTCCAGAGGCAGTCATGCCATAAGCTTGGATCCTCCAGCCATTGAGTGTGAGGGTCTTAGCCCGGTCTAAATGAGCACTGAATTCTAGAGAGACCAAGGGACCGTCTAAGTTCTGAATTCTGAGTCCTGAATCCTGGAAGTTGGCTTCTGGCCAGGGAGCAGGTGTTACTGCCTCTGATCCACAAAAGCAGCCCCACAGCTCAAGTTGCTCTTCTGGATTTCTCCCCTCTCCTGGTTCCTGGCCAGGCAAATCTTCACTGCTTTGTTAGCCCATCCATTTGCTCAACCAGATTTTTCAAATATGTATGTTTTCCTCCTTTTCCCATTGTACTCAGTGGAAGGAATGGTCTAAATTACCTAATCAGCAATTCCTGGAAACCAAGCCACCATGTACATACAATCTTATACATTAATGTCACATACAAGAAAGAAAATGCAGAGGTACCAGTAGTGGCTACCTAAGCAGTGTAATGTAGAGGTAATAAAAACGAATTGTTGGATAGTATCTATCTATGCCATGAGTAAAATACATATCAATAAATTACAACTTCTAAGAAAATAATCTCTATATGTAATATATGACTATGACTCTGATAGACAAACCTCGGAGTATTGTCTGAAGACACTTCTCATCACCTTCACCTCATGAGCCAGATGGTGTGAAATGAGGAGCAGAGATTTGAAATGTGTGGCAAGCCTCTCTGCAAAGCAGCAGAGTAACATTCTACATGAGCGAATCAAAGCAATCTCACAAATGACATTGGATGTGCGGTGTGGGATGTGTGTCCTTATTATAATGGAGTTAATCCTTTAAGTAGGTAATCCTTTTACATGAACTGGATTCTAAATGACTTATTAGCTATCAATTAGCCAGGAATTTTTCCCTTTACTAAAAGAGAGACCCTGCCATGAACCAGCATTTCCCAGGTGGAGGTCTCTGGCAGACATCAACTTCTAACAGGGTAAATGTCCTGTTTCTTTAGTCAGGGAAAACTGACTTTCACAAGTGGTCTCTGGTTGAGGGATCCCATTTTGAGTGGGGCATTTGCCAAGTCACTTCTCCCTGTTCCTGCTGGGGCTGGGGATGATGAACCGAGTGAAGACACAAACTCTGAGAGGGAACCAGGCAGACAGGCAGACTGACAAGGAGGGCACTGCCTGGTCTAGTTACCATTCGCACCCAGTCAGAAGAGGTGAAGGGTGAGAGAGGAGGCTGCTGGGAACTGGAATATTAGCAGCCAGGAAGGCCAACAAAGTGCAGGCTGACAGTATAGGCCAGAGGCTGGAGACCCTGGGAGGGAGCTTTGTTGTTCCCTCTGAGCCCCAGGGTGCAGGAGAGGGTCCTTTTCACCAGGGAGCTTCAGCCTTCAGGATGATTTCTGGGCTCTGCACTCCACTGATCCTCCATGAGGACTTTAAACAGCAAGATGAGGTACACAGGGCCCTAGGAATCTGATTCTCATATACCCTGAAATACCTTTACTAAAAATATCATCCCTATGTTTTGCTTATTTCTTATAACATATAAAACATTAAGCCAAACCACCGTACAGAATTTATTAATATGTAGATATGAGGTGTCTGGTGACAGATCCTCCAAGTTATTTATATCAGAGGAAGAAAGTGGTCTGGCTGCATTCACAGATGAGAACAGCAGGGTAGCAACACTCAGGACCATGACACTGGGTGCTCCCAACCCCGAAGGGAAGCGTCTCACTGTACACAGATGGCCAGGAGAGTGATCACAGGGTCCTGTGTTATCTCCTCCTCCTCCTCTCCTGGGTCCTGGGCTTCACTTCCTAATCTCAGCTGGTAGCAAAATTAACTTGGTATTCAAGACCCTTATGGCCCCTCTTCACCATAGCATCTCATCAGGTCTCTTTCCTCATAAGAATTTCAGCACAGGGGTGTACTCTAGAAATATCACCATGGAAGGGGTGGCAGAGGCAGCTCATCTCTAACTCCTCAAATAGAGAGGATGGAGCCACAGTCCTGTGCCTCACCCATCCCATGGTCCTGCCTCAAATACAGCCTCCTGCAGGCTGCTGGGTCCCCTTTATTGTCATTCTCCAGATGGTGACAGGGTCCCAGGCAGACGTGCTCACAGCTTCCTTGGGGCCTGATGCCAACAGGAGTTGAGGCCAGGGAGCAGCTTTGGGCTGTACGGATCTTTGGATTTGAAGGTAGGGGATGGTGATGGGCTGCCCATAATGCTCTAGGTGTAAAGGCTGAGAGCGGCTGAGCGGGATCTGGTCATTACCATGTTCTCCACAGTTTGAGAGCTGCCTTGTGCAGACCAGCAAGAAGCAAGACACAGATAGTTCTCAGCCCCCTTATATCTCTGTGGACCCCGACTTTTCTTCCCCCAGCTGCTGTCCTCCCAAGCACAGCCCCGGGAGGATGTAGGGAGAGGGACCCATTCCCCTGATGCCCCAGAACCCCTTTCATGTAATCCCAATATCCAGGCCTGGGGTCCCCTTCTTTGGATCGACCTTTCTTTTCTTGGAATGAAAGGGTTACAGGGTCTCCCTCCCAGATCTCCACTGTGACTCACTCACCCTAAATAGATGTCTTGCTCTACAGTTATCTTCTGCATAGTGTTTTCTGAAGATGTGATAAAATATTATAAGCCATTAATAAAACATGGAAGTTAGGTTCTCTTTTTGGATTCTGAGGATCTGCTGTGCTGGGGCAGGGGCAGGTGGGGAGAGAAGGGCAGGTGGAGGGGCAGGAGCTGAGTGGTGTGCGGCCTCGCTCTGTGCTCAGTAAAGCTCCTGCTGTGGTCATCTCTTGTGTATTTGTCTGGATCCCTCCATGTGCTGGGATTTGTGCCTGGTCTTTAGGGGCGGGTGCTGCTCCAGGTCGGAGGCCTCACACATCTCCAGGCTGAGCCTTTCTCCAAGTCCATGGAGGTCGCGGGCTGAGAATGGCCAGTCCCACTCCTGCCTTGAGTTTCACTTTATTTGGCATATTTTTATATGTTGATCTGATCCTTCTCACAAGGGATGTTTATGAGCATTATTTCATAGGAGAGCCACTACCATTCCGCCGTGGCCATGCTCTGTCCCTGACACCAGGATCCTGGGTGCTTTGTTTTTGTTCTCCCCTAAAGTCCCGGGACAGCCTCTGCACGTGGGGCTTCTCAGATGACACAGATTGATGATTTCCACCTTAGCCTTCTTTCCTCTTCCATTTCCAGAATACTTCTATTTTTTTCTTTTATTATACTGTCAGATTTTCAAGTTAAGGGCTGGGCACAATGGCTCACACCTGTAATGCTAGCACTTTGGAAGGCCAAGTCAGGGGGATTGCTTGAGGCCAGGAGTTGAAGACCAGCCTGGGCAACATAGCAAGACGCTGTCTCTATGAAACAAATCGAATTAACACCATGAATACATGTGTTATTGTCATGTCATAAATAAATTCTTGTCACTTCTTCTGTGGGACAGTCAGGGTCCTGGCAGGAAAGAGATGACAAAGAAAGAAGACACACATTACAGAGGTGCTGGCAGGCCTAAGAAAGCCACAAGGGGTGCTGAAGCTCCCTGGGATGATCAGTGGCAGGAAACTGTTTCCATCTCTGAGTTGAAAGAACAAGGAAGAGGGAGCAGTTTCCAGAACTCACGGAAATCTGTAGCTTTCACTAGGGGCAGCCCCGCAGGCCTGTGGCTGTAGGTAGAGGACGGCAATGATTACAGAACCGCAGAGCTGTCCAAAGGGAGTGAGGGAAGTGAAAACCCTGAGTTACTTCTCCCCCCACGCTCCCATCTCCTGCAGGTGCCTGTTATCATCCACACCCAAGCAGAAGCAGGTGGTGCAGGAGCACAGGCCGTGCTGTCTCTGTGGTGCCCCCAGTGCAGGGGGCAGGATGGAGGAGAGTGAACCACAGCTCTGTGGAGGGGAAGCAGAGAATAATGCACTCACCTGCTTACGGTGTTCACATTCTTCAGGGAATTTACTTAAATATACCAGAGTTTGTTCTAATCCAAAAATATGACTTTAAAAAGAAGTATCTCACTTATAAATGCATAGCAGGTAGTAAAATTGAGTATTACCTCACTCTCCTTCCCTTTCCCCACATGGGACTGTATAACTCATAAATGAATAACTTGATTTATTATTATTTTTTTAAAATAACTTGAATTATTTGGGTGTAAGCCATAAAAGCAGAGTCTGGCTCAGATCAGCAAAGGGAAGTTGTTGGGCAGCTGGGGGTGCAGTTCACAGAATCACAGATACTTTCAAAGTACCAGGACAGCACCGAGGAGCAGGCGGCAAGCCCTGACCAGTCTCGTTGGACTAGACCATGGAGTGAAAGAATCGTCACTGATACTGATAGCTTGTGACTGCTGATGCTTTAAATTCTGAGACAGTTTACCCAAATGGCTTAGTTTAGATCTCATGCATTTCTTATTTTCTTGTGATTTAATTTCAGGGATAGAGTCAATATCTTCCCTTAAGGGAAGTTCCTTTCCTGTTTATCTTGTTAAACTAGGTGGAAGGGGAAGACTTTTTCAAGTTCCCATGGACCCATATACATCATGACATCAATCTAATTGCTCTCATCCAGTGATACGGTTTGGCTGTGTCCCCATTCGAATCTCAACTTGAATGGTATCTCCCAGAATTCCCACATGTTGTGGGAGGGACCCAGGGGGAGGTAACTGAATCACTGGGGCCAGTTTTTCCCGTGGTATTCTTGTGATAGTCTCACGAGATCTAATGGGTTTATCAGGGGTTTCCGCTTTTGCTTCCTCCTCATTTTCTCTTGCCACTGCCATGTAAGAAGTGCCTTTCACCTGCCGCCATGATTCTGAGGCCTCCCCAGCCATGTGGAATTGTAAGTCCAATTAAACCTCTTTTTCTTCCCAGTATGTCTTTATCAGCAGCGTGAAAATGGGCCAATGAGAGGGGCTATTTCCTCCACCACCAGTGGCGCTGTGGGAGGCTCTTCTGCACCCATATTGCAGCTCAAACCCATTAAAAGGGGAATCAGAGAGCTGGGCTAGGCATTTCCCTTCCCTACACTACAGGAATCCTAGTTGTGTTTCCCTTCTGTTTGATAGACTTAAATCTAGATAGTCACTAAGTTGCTGTGTGGTCACGTTTTGGAGAGAAAGGAAAGCAGGCAGGAGTGAGGACACTGGCACCCCAACTGCTGCCTGTGGGCACCTGCACATTCATGCTCCACTCTCACACTCACACTTACACACGTGTACACACACTCCAATTCCCACTTGTGCACACATGCACACACGTGTGCAGCCACACACACACACTCAAGTCAGCACTGGAGGATGACACTTCCCAACACCCTTGTACCCACGTGCCATTCTTGGGGATTTGTGCGGCTGGAGGCAGGAGGTCCTGAGGAGGCACCACCAGGGACTACCACCAGGGGGAGGGTTGAGTGAGTGGGGTCCTGCCAAGGCACTGGTGGATGGGATGATACCTACGGGATGCACTGGCAGGGGCAGACGTTTGCTCCAAGGCCATCTCCCTTCCATCTCCTCTCCCTGCTCAGGCTCATAGCCCTGACCTGAGGCCCAGCTAGAAAGGCAGAAGGCATCCTCCCACACAGAGCACACAGCTCCTTCCCTGCATCAGAACCCTCGGTGGCACCATCAAGTTGGACAGATATAGTCAGGCGAGGTGGGGGGTCACTGCAGAGGACAAGAAGGTCCTGTCCTGGAATCTGCAGCCAAACACCTTTGGCCACAGACTGAAGGCTGCACTGTCAGCTTCCCTACTTTTGAGGTTTTGGGACTTGGACTGATCCATCACTGGCTTTCTTGCACCTCAACTTGCAGACGGTCTGTCGTGGGACTTCACCTTGTGATCGTGTGAGTCAATTCTCCTTAATAAACTCCCTTACATATGTACATACATCCTATTAGTTCTGCTCCTCTAGAGAACGCTGACTCACACAGTGGGTGAGGCAGGGAGTTGCGTGAGCTGCCCAAAAGCCACCAGGAGCCACTCTCTCCAGGCTTTGGCCTCACTTCAGTGCCAGGCCCTGCCACAGCCCTTGCCCCCATCCTACTCTGCCACCCCCAGCTCCCTCCCAGCCTGACCCCAGACAGAATCCAGAACAACTCCTGTTCCTGACCTGAAAAATGTTCTTGCCAGTTTAGGCAGAACTTGCTTTAGAGCCCTGGTGTCCAGCCCGCCACAGGTCTTGTGTCTGTTTCTCTTGGCACTGTGTCTTTTCTCACTTATTCTTCTGAAACTCTGCAAGGCAGGAATTATGTCACTGGTTTGCAGATGAGGAAACTGGCTCAGATGGTTTCATTCAGCACTCACTCACTGGGCAAGTGTCTGTCGGGGCCAGCTCTGGGTCAGATGTGCTCAGGCCTCTTCAGCTGGCTGGTGGGAGGACCTGGAGGGTTCATGCCCAGGTCCAGGCCCATCTGACTTGAAAGCTTTTCCTGACTTTGCTTCAGTGCTGATTTCCCCTTTGCAGGTGCACCTTCCACTGTGCTTTCCTTTATTACTGTTTGCTGACACTGCATTTTTTCCTTTGCTTTTTCTTTCTTTCCATCTTTCTTTCTTTTTTCTTGCTTTTTTATTTATAGACCGAATGTTTGTGGCAACCCTGTGTCAAGCAGGTCTATTTGGCACCATTTTTCCAACAGCATGTGCTCACTTCATGTCTCTGTGTCACATTTTGGTAATTCTTGAAGTATTTCAACCTTGTTCATTATTACACCTGTATGGTGACCTGTGGTCAGTGATCTTTGAAGTTACTCTCGTAACTGTTTTGGGACACCATGACCCACACCCTTATAAAATGGTGAACCTTATTGATAAATGTTGTGTATGTTGTGACTTCTCCACCAACTGGCTGGTTTCTTGACTCTCTCTCTCTCTCCCGGCCTTCCCTATTCTGTGAGACACAAAAATATTGAAGGCAGGCCGATTAGTAACCCTACAATGGCCTCTAAGTGTCCAAGTGAGGAGAATAATCTTGCTGCAAACTTCGTTGTGTTATTTTAAGAAATTGCCACAGCGATTTCAGCAACCACCCTTCTGATCAGTCAGCAATTATTAACATTGAGGCAAGACCCTCCACAGCAAGAAGGTTAGGATTAGCTGAAGCCTCAGGTGATTGTTAGCATTTTTTAGCAATAAAGTAGTTTTACATTAAGGTATGTACATAGTTCATTTTGTACATAATGCTATTGTACACTTAAGAGACTACAGTCAAGTGTAAATATAACTTTTATATGCACTGGGAAACTGAAAAATTTGTGTGACTTGCTTTGTTGCCATGGTCTGGAGCCAAACCTGCATATATCTGAAGTATGACTGTAATTTCCCTTTCCCTCTTCTTGCTGGCCCAGAATGACCTTGTTTCTTGCCCCTGTCTAGCCCTGCATGCTGTAGGGGTTTGCCTTCTCTGGTAGGTCTGGGCACTTTGTATCCCTTGTAACTCTGGCTCCTGGAATATGACACTGGTACAGGGCTCAAGCTCTGTTGGACTAGTGAGCCTCCTCCCATTCTTCCTGAACTAGAACCAAAGCTCCGTGCACACACTGTGCATGTGTGAGCCTGTGTAGAGATGTCGGCTTCCTGCAGCGTGTTCTGAAGGGGTGTCCTGTTGTGACTGGGGGCACAGCCACAGGCCACTGGGCAGAGGTGGTTCAGAAGGGAGTGGATGGCCCCAGTTTTGATCATCTGAAAACAGGGAGGTCCTCAGAGAAAAACCAATGTCTTAGAAGGCAAAACTGCCCGAGAGTGGACAATGGCTAACCAGGTCACTACCTGGGACATCACTCTGCACTAGGAGGGAAGATGGCCTCTGCCATGGTATAGAGGTCCAGGAACCAGGCAGGGAGGCCTTCCCGGTGGTCAGTGCTTCTCACAATTGGTAGCTAAAGTATCTTTAGATGAGGCCAAAGGCCTCATGTTCCTCACTAGCTGACTTGTTCCCACTCAGTGGAAAAAGAACACAGAAACTTTGTAAAATGTTAGGGGAGAGGTACTTTCCCTCTTGACTCTTAGTGCTAGGGTTATGCATGACGCATACTTGCATTGCAATGTGTACACAGCTTAAAGTCTTAATTATTAGAATATAAGAGGCCCAAACTACTGTTTTTATACATATGTGAAACTGTACATATAAGGTTAAACAACCTGCAACCAGTTAACTTTGAAGATACATTTATCACATTTGTAGATTTTCAAACAATATTGGCAGGCATTTAGAAAAACAACAAATGAGACTCTTGCAAGACAATCTAAATTATACGCTGATAACATTGCTTCATGAAGAGGACATTTGAACCATCTGAGTTTCTGCCTTAGGTTATAACTCCAAAATGGACGAACCCCCAATAGTTTATAGCAGGCAGCCCCAAGCCACAAACAAATGTGTCAGTGCAGACCTGAGACCTGGAGTGAGTCCCCCTCCCCCAGGGACATGAGTGAATCCTCTAAGACCCCTCTTCCTCCAGGCCCTCCATCCAGTCATCAGGGAGACAAGAAAGGGTCCACACAGCACTGAGGCCCAACTATCTCACTGTCCTCACCTCCATGGACAGAGCCCAGGTGAAAGCCACCCCTGAGCCTCCTCCCTCGTCTCCCACAGCCTCAGCACCATCATCTGCCTTGAGTCCACCAGGACTGAGCTCATCATGCCTTTTCCCTGTTTGTGTCAGTCACACTGGGTCCCCCAAACACCCTGCATTCACATCCCCACAAGGCTCTGCACACCCCTATTTTGTCTCCCCATACCCCATTCCCAAATCCAGAAGTCTTCCCGCTGTGCCCCTTGGAATTCTCAGCCCATGATCAGCAAAACCTCCACATCCTGTCTCAGGATGTTCCTGGACCTCACAGCTCCAGCGATGTCTGTGTCTGCCAGAGGATGTGGTCCCTTCCAAAGTCCTCCCACATGGGGGAGTTTGCACAGGGACCTTGTACCCTTGGCCCAGAGGTGGGGTGGCATCCTCACTCCTCACTGTGGTTCTCAGACCTTTCTGCCTCCTTCCTTCCTAAGCCCCCAAAGCTGTCATCAGATTCAGGCCCCACTCCCCTCATTGCAGCCATTCCCTGTGGGCCCCAGGCCGTTCCTCTCAGTCCTGACTCTTGTAGTTCCTGGTTCACTATCGCCCTCTCCAGCAGTGCTGTCTCCTTGATCCTCGGTGACTTCAACATACTCAGATGTGATGGGCCGAGTAATGGTTCCCAAAGACATCCAATCTCAATCCTGGGCACCCACGAGTAGGTTGCATTACATGGCAAAAGGGAAAATACTGATGTGATGAAGATTAAGGACCTTAAAATTGCAAGATTATTTTGGACTATCTGTGTGGGCCCGATCAAATCTCACAAGCCATTAAAAGCAGAGAAGCTGCTCTGGCTGGAGTCAGATGCTGCAGAGGAGGAAGGCAGAGGAGACACCGCAGAAGGGGGAGGTCAGAGGTTCCAAGCAGGAGGATTGGATATGTTGCATGGGATATGTGTGAGGAACTGAGAGAGGGCTCTAGGAGCTAAGGGTGGCCCCTGGACAGGAGCCAGCAAGGAAGTGGGGATCTCAGTCCTATCTGCAAGGAAGTGAATTCAGACAAGAACCTGAATGAGCTTGACAGTAGATTTTTCCTCAGAGTCAGAAGGAACACAGACCTCCCCTTACCTTGATTTTAGCCCCATGAGACTGTTGAAATTGTAACACACATGACTGTGACATGATAAAGAGATGCTGTTTAAAGCCACTTGTTTTGTGTTAATTTTTATGGCAGCAATAAACACCCATAGAGCAGAGAGGATGCATCGCCCTCTGGCTTCTCAGATGCTGGGACTCCTCTCCTCCATGACCTTCTCCTCTCTCTGCCTGAATCTCATGCCCTTGTCATATAAGCATTATTTCGTAGGAGAGCTGCTATCATCCCGCCATGGCCATGGTCTGTCCCTGACACCAGGATCCTGTTGCTTTGTTGTTGTTCTCCCCTAAAGAGTCCTAGGTCTCATCATGGCCAAGAACCCCAGCCCTTCCATACTCTCTATCTCACACTTTCCATTCTCTGACCATCTTTCCACTCATCCCCTTGCACGGAGGCCACAGGCTCTGAGGATACTTATACTATCATTTTATCATATGCTGTGACGTAATATCAGTGAACCACTCATTGCCTATGTGCCTGCTTTCCAGGCTTGGAGTCTTCCCTGTAGTACATCAATTCCAACAATCCTTCCACCCACTCTGGGATTCCCAATCCAGTGATCCTGCCATCTACTCACTGTCCCTCACCCTTGATGTCCTCTCCTCCCTCTTCAGCCATTTTGAATTCTATTGTAAATAATTTCCATCCCTCCCTTGCCCCTCCCTTGCGTTGCCATACTTGTTTGGCAAAACTACACAGCTGGTGGAATCCACCTCTGCCTACACTGCACCTGCCCCCATGAGCTGAAGGAGGCTGGAAAGCAGCACACAGCATGCTGACTTCTCTCTCTAACTTCATGACCCAAACCTCATGGGGACCCCCCACCACGACCAGCAATCACCCTCTCCAAGCATGGCTCACCCTCAGCCTCCTACTGGTCTGGGTGACTCTCACACACCTTCTCTCTGCTCACACATCCAACCTTCTATCTGCATTCTTACTTCAGCTGATGACCTTGCTTCCTACTTCACTGAGAAAACTGAACACACTAGAAGACAATTTCACAGATTCCATCTGCTCATGCATTTGCAGCTGCACTGCATGCTGGGTCTTCTACCACATGGATGGTTGTTGTGGGTTAACCTTCCCGCTCCCAGCCAGAGCCAGTCCCTCTACTGGTGTCCCAAACATCATCCTTCTCATCTACTTAAAGGTATCAGTTCATCAGTTCATACCTTTTTTTCTCTTTGATCATTACCCTTTGTCCTTTCTCCCCACTGGATTGTTGTGGCAGTCTTGAGAATGCACATCCCAGCCCCTCAGCTAGAGGAAGCACAACTGATGATGCTCCAGCTGTTGCCGCCTGAAATCTATTGCTACGTTTGCTCTCAGACCATACTTGCCATTGGCTTCTTCGATTCAATAATTGAGAGAAGAGGAGAAACAAAGACAGGATTGTCCCTCCTTTAAAGGCCCACTGAGGCTCCAGGGCTCACCCTTACTGAACTTCTCTTAACCTGCACTGGGTCTAGGATACTTTCAGCCAAACTTCCTTCCCTCTCTCCTTCACTGGGGTTTAAACTTGCATTGCAGTCTGGTTGGGCACAGTGGCTCACGCCTGTAATCCCAGCACTTTGGGAGGCCAAGGTGGGCAGATCACATGAGGTCAGGAGTTTGAGACCGGCCTAGCTAACATGGTGAAAACCCGCCTCTACTACAAAGACAAAAATTTGCCAGGTTTGGTGGTGCATGCATGTAATCCCAGCTACTTGGGAGGCTGAGGCATGAGAATCACTTGCACCTGGGAGGTGGAGGTTGCAGTGAGCTGAGATTGCTCAAAAAATAAAAATAAAAAAGCCACTTGCGTCACAGTCTTATGGCTTTCCCAGTCTTTTCTGTCTTGCTCCCCAATTTCTTTCATGGCTATTTCCCCTAATAAATCCTGGCACATTTAATTCTGTATTGCAGTCTGCTCCTCAGGGGATGCTAACCAACACAAGTGGCTTCAGGAGTGGTCCATAGACACAGACAAAAACGGGGATTGGGGCTGAGCTTGCCCACTGCCTGGCAGGCCGAGAATGCCATCCACGTTGGTTGGGGACAGAGAAAGTCCATGGCACAAGGTGCAGCTGAGCTGCTGTGGATATCCCCAGCACGGACCTGAGAAGATGCCCTGGTTCCCGGGTGCTATGGCAGGTGGTGTGATAGAAGCCTCTACACAATAATGACAGGGTGGGAGGGAAAACCTACAACAGGGAAGCTGGCTGGTTACTGCTCAGCTGTGTTGATGCCCTATAAAAGGAGAATGAGAATCTGAGGGATTCTAACAGCTGTCACTGGCTACGTGTGAGGCCTCTGCAGTGTCTCATGGAGAGGCCCTTATTTCCTGTAGCGAAAGGGTAGATAGTGTGGAATGGTAGCTGAAGATATCATTGTGAGGGTTACAGACCTCCAGAGATGTTTGACATTCAGCCAAGGCAGGCCTGTTGTGGAAAATCAGGGCCCTGGTGGGGAAACATGAGATTCTGCAAACTAGGACAGCATTATCAGATGGGTGCCCTCCAGTACCCTCTGGGCATGCAGAGAAGGCTCGCCTTTTCCAGTAATGGTTCCCACTTCCTACGCTGGAAGATGCTGCAGAAGCCTCACCCTTATAATGCAGCAGGAATTCCACTCAGGAGCTTTGCAGGAACTAGCTGGCATGTCCACATAGGATCCTGGGGAACACTTCTGGGATTGGAATTTGAGGGCATTTGATCAAAGGGACAGAATTTCAAGCTAGATAGATAAAAATCCTTTGACTTGGGAACACTTTCTCAAGCCATGATGTATTAGTCCATTTCATGTTGCTGATAAAGACATACCCCAGAATGGGCAATTTACCAAAAGAGGTTTAATGGACTCACAGTTCCATGTGGCTAGGGAGGCCTCAGAATCACGGCAGAAGGTGAAAGCCATGTCTCACGTGGCAGCAGATAAGAGAAGAATGAGAACCAAGCGAAAGGGATTTCTCCTTTTAAAACCATCAGATCTCATGAGACTTATTCACTATCATGAGAACAGCATGGGAAAGACCTGCCCCCATGATTTAATTGCTTCCCTCCTGGTCCCTCCCACAACACGTGGAAATTCAAGACGAGATTTGGTTGGGGACACAGCCAACCGTATCACATGGGTTTTTCAAAGACCCCAGGGCATGGGGCAAACCCACTGCTGGGGTGATCCATGTAGACTGGGAAAAAATGATGCCGGTATCTCACAAGCTAGACCTGACTTAGTTGCCCCGGAACATGTAGAAGAGGGAATAATGAGGCTGGGGGAATTTGGCCTGTGGGATGGAGACATTACGTGAGGCCGGAAAGCCCACCGGAACCGTGCTTTATAAGAGGACCCAGGGGGCCCACCTTCCACCAGAGCCTCAGGAACGTGCTGGCAACAGGGACCTGCATCACTAAGAAGTTTCATTGTATTGTTCTCTGAAGGCTGAGGGTGATGGTAGGAAAAGATGTCCCAGAGTTGGGCTCATTAATATCCACGGAGAGGGTGTGGCCCTGAAGAGATAGAGAACAAGTGGTGGCAGTGACCTGCAAAAGCCAGAGGACACGGTTACCATGGCAACCCCAGAGGAGCAGCCGAGGGGGCTTGACCTGCCTGCAGTTGTGGGTAAGGTTAATAGA
This sequence comes from Homo sapiens, assembly GCF_000001405.40. Taxonomy (NCBI): domain Eukaryota; kingdom Metazoa; phylum Chordata; class Mammalia; order Primates; family Hominidae; genus Homo; species Homo sapiens. The sequence goes on along the minus strand of NT_167247.2, from coordinate 2,809,173 downwards.
GGGTGGTGTTCCAGGGTCAGAACAGAAGGGCAGCCAGCAAGAGCACTGCTTGGTATCTATGATAAGAAAGCAAGAATTGAGGAGCAGGAGGCTGAGGGTGTTTGAACCAATACAAAATCATGATCCATTCTCAGTGCCTAGATCTCAGCCAAGCTTCAGATTCAGAACCCAGTGACAGAGGAGGTGTCCATATTCCTAGGAGGAAGGACCCTGCAACCCTGTGGCAAGTGTATGCTGGGTCAATTCCCTGAGCCATTGTGCAAAGGGACCTACAGCCATTTACTTTAGAGACTGTACCCTGGGAAAGGGAAATAGGGAGAACTTGGGGGAGTACTGACTTTGGGTGTGAGATGACATTGATGCCCAGAGGCCCACAGCATCATCATGACCCCCTCACATTGGGGATTACGGAGACCACGAAATAAACCTGGACACATCACGGCTCACCATGGGGTCACTGAGTCCACAGACCCAGCCCTGGTTATCTCCCCATTCTCCTAGTGCATAATTGACACTGATGCCCTGGCAGCTGGAGTCACCCCCACACTGCATCCCTAGTCTGTGGAGTAAGGGCTCTCATTGTGCTGAAGGCCAAAGGGAAACCTCTGAAACTGCCTCCATTCTGGCCAAATCAAAAATGATCATATGTCCCAGGGTGAATCTTGTGGAAGGCACTGCAAGTGCTGTGGGGGTAGCACCACCATTAGAGAGCTGGAGGATGTGGGGTGGTGTTGGGGTTGCCTATTATCTCCATGTAATTTAGCAAATAAGCCTGATGGAGCCTAAGGAATGAATGGGATTACTAAGGAATGAATGGGATTACTCCAGATGTGACCAAGTAGGAGTCCTGATTGCAGCTAGCATGCTGGCTGGATATATCTGGTAGAGCAGATTAATAAGGCCTCAGGCACACAGTGTGCAGCTGTGGATGTGGTGAGTGCATTCCCTTCCATTCCAATTAGAAGTGGATATAGCCCGGGTGTGGTGGCTCATGCCTGTAATCCCAGCACTTTGGGAGGCAGAGGAGGGCGGATCACCTGAGGCTGGGAGTTCGAGACCAGCCTGACCAACATGGAGAAAACCTCTCTCTACTAAAAATACCAAATTAGCCGGGCGTGGTGGCACATGCCTCTAATCTCAGCTACTTGGGAGACTGAGGAAGGAGAATAACTTGAACCTGGGAGGCGGACATTGCGGTGAGCTGAGATCATGCCATCGCACTCCAGCCTGGGCAAAAAGAGTGAAACTCTGTCCAAAAACAAAACAAAAACAAAACCAAAACCAAAAACAAAACATTAGCCAGGCATGGTGGTGTGCACCTGTAATCCAGCCTGGGTGACAGAGTAAGACTCTGCCTCACACACACACACACAAAAGTGGATATAAAGTGATTCATGTGGGATCCACAACACTTTAATTCATAGTTTGCCTCAGGGCTATTATAATTCCCCAGGCCTCTATAGTACAGTCTTAAGAGATCTGGAGAACCTGGATATACTATAGAATATTAAATTCCTTTATTTCATTGACAACATCATGTTGACTGGGATGGATGAGTAAGAGGAGGAAGGTACACTAGAGGCTTTGGTAAAACATCTTCTCTCCAGAGGGTGAAGATAAATAAACCTTACAGAGATTCAGAAGTGGCCACTGCAGTGAAGTTTTACAGGTCTAGTGGTTAGGGGCATCCAGGGGTGTCCCTTCCAATGTGAAAGACAAACTGTTGCATCTTGCATCCTCATGCAAGGAAGGAAGCACACTGCCTGGTGAGCCTGTTTGAGTTCTGACATCACATTCTACATGTAGGTGTATTGCTTTGACCCACACTCTAGGTGACATAGGAGGATGCCAGCTTTGAGTGGAGCCTCCACAGGAAAGGACACTGCAGCAGATCCAGGCCATGGCGCAGTCACCATCCTTCAGACCCCCTGGTGCTGAAAGTGCCAGTGGTGGGGTAAGATTTGGGGTGGAGCTGAACCAAGCACCAGTAGGAGAGTCACAGTGGAGGGCCTGGGATTCTGGAGTAAGGCCATGTCATCCACAGCACAGAAATATGCCCCATCCAAAGCAGAGAAATATGTTGGAAGCAACTTTTGGCATGTTACTGTAGGCCCTGATAAGATAGAATGCTTGACCATGGGACACAAAACAACCATGTGATTCCAAGTGCCCCTACGAATTAGCATCTGTGTAACTCATGAAGTCATACATTGGACATGCCCAACAGCATCCATCATGAGATGGAAAAGTTTCTTGTGAGTTGAGCCTGAATCCCATGTTAACATCCCCAGAAAACACCCAAACCTGAAATGGCCCTGAACAACCAAGCAGAAGCACTGAAATTAGCCAGCCTTCCCCATGGGTCAGCCCAGGCCGGGTAGGATGGGTACATAAATGGAGCAAACACAGTGGCAGGGATGAGGCTACCTATGGGTCCAACAGTACTGACTCCCTCCTACCAAGGTAGATCCAGACACTGCCACCTCTAAATGTCCTACTCATCAGCATTTGAACCCAATGATCTTCCCTGGTAGGGCTCTATTTCTTTAGGTGACCAACCAGACCCTAAGTGAGGAGTTGACTACATTGCACTCCTTCCATCCTGGAAGGGCCAGAGGTTCATCTTCACAGGGATAGGCACCTATTCCATAGGTGGGTTTTCCTGTCCTGCTCTCAGACCCTCAGCCAGCACCACTCTCTGGGGGCTGTTGATATTCCTGATCCACAGGCTTGGCACTGCTCTCCGTGCAGTATCTTCGTGGGGGACCCACTTGACAGCGAAGGAGGTGCAGTGTGGCCATGCTGTGGGACCCACTGGTCCTATCACCATCTGCACCAACCAAGGGCTGCTGGCC